>NC_000007.14:144458379-144609894 GCF_000001405.40 Homo sapiens | reverse complement strand
CCAGAGGAACTTCATTTTATTGTCTAAAACAAAATTCATTATTAGTCTCACAAGAATCTCGTTTTCTCTTTTTATATTTCCTTTCTCATTCAATGGCACTACCATCCAACTGCCTGGCGGAAACCTAAGAGTAAGTTTATGCCTTACTCTACCATCCCTTGACAGTTGGTCACAGTTCCCTGAAATTCTTCAGATCTCTGTCCTATGGCAGTCTTGCTGCCACTATATGAGTTCAAACATTTATCATTTCTCACTTGGGTTACTATATTAGCCTCTGCTCGCCCCCTTCAGTACATTATCTTACCAAAATTCATATAATATATCTTAAATCTATATCTGCTTTAAATTTTTTATTGTCTCTCATTGTTATGTATTCAAGAAATATTTATTTAATGAATAAATGCATTTCTAATAACATCAGTTTTCTCTATTCCAAAGGACATTATGCTAAAACTTAGCTGGCGTATAGAACTTTCTTCAGGACTCTTGTTGCTAGCATTCTTGATGCCATGTTAATTCTCCTGTGACATGTGTCCAGGTGCTTTAGAATCTTGCTTGTCTCTACCAATTGTGACAATGAATATGCTTATTATTGAAAGTAATAATACCACCTTAAACTTTAATAAAATGTTAATCTTCAAAGCACTGTAATTAGAAGTCAGGTATTCAGGTGCTCAGGATAGGCCTGGCACTCTTTTTAGCTGCATGACAGTAGAAAGATATTTAAGTTTTTTTTTGTTGTTGCTGTTTTTTTTTTTCTTTTTCTTTCTTTCTTTCTTTTTTTTTTTTTTTTTTTTTTGAGAACTCTGTCACCCAGACTAGAGTGCAGTGCTGTGATCTCAGCTCACTGCAACCTCCACCTCCTGGGTTCAAGCAATCCTCCTGCCTCAGCCTCCCGAGTAGCTGGTATTAGAGGCGCACACCACCATGCCCAGCTAGTGTTTGTAGTTTTAGTAGAGATGAGGTTTCACCTTGTTGGCCAGCCTGGTCTTGAACTCCTGACCTCAGGTGATCCACCCACCTTGGCCTCCCAAAGTGCTGGGATTACAGGTGTGAGCCACCGCGCCCGGCCAGTATTTAAGTTCTTTAAGCCTGGATTTTCTCATCTGTAAAGTAAAAATACTAACCCACCTATAACAGAGCATTACATGGTAAAGCACGTATTTCAGTGCCCGTCCCATAGGAAGTCCTTATTTTAAAAATTAGCGATAGTGGTGGTAATAATTGTAATACACTCTTGTGCAACTAAATGTAATAGATTTTGTGGAATAATATCACTTAAGAATTAGAGTATGTCTTAGAAATCTCTTAAATTAGTTACAGTTTTTTACCCAGGTTCATGGGACTCTCAATAGAGTATTGTGGGTTTTTTTTTTTTTTTTTGGACATACTCTAATTTTACAAGAACTCTCAATATCAGAAACTTGAATTAAACTGAGAACTTATTACATGTTAATGTATTTCCCAGGTGAGTTCTGGAACTTCCCCTATTCCCAGAGAACCTATATATATTAAATGTATCTCTATATTTAATAGTGGAATCCAACAGAGAGTGAGATGTACAACCCAGGTAACTATTTTTGTACCTTGCCTTTGTGTGGAGAAAAAAGGAAGGATCTGCTCTACCCTTGCTAATCCTAGTATGGACATTATAGGCCTTATGCTCATGAAAGGTTATATTACCCTAAAATTAGGCAAAAGTTCATATTAGAGTTCCACAGGCAAACTTCCTCCTCTTAGATATACTATAGAGGCTATTAGGTATCTTCTTCCAGTCACCTTAACAAACTTTTACTTAATATCTGTTCTGTTTAAGTCAGTATGCTGTGATTTCGTGACTAAGTCCATAATCTCAAACAGCCTTCGGTCTAATAGAGGAGACAGATTTACAGGTGACCATAGAATGATTTAGACTACTGTAATAAATACTGTAACTTGCCTCTTCAGAATAGATTCAACTTCTTTTGGATAGATTACTCTGCAGTTATTTATATATAATTCCTTTTTGAGAAAATGGAATAATATAGTTTTTTTCTAATGAAATTGCAGCTCATGTTGAAGCCTTCTGTGAACATCATATTTAAGGCAGCACCCCTCAGCTCTACCTCTTGAATCCCTTGGTTAAGCCATCCTTATATCTTCCCCTGCTCCATTTTCTTGTCACCATCTGACATACTACATATTTAGGATGTTTGTTTCTATTACATATTCATTCAATATATTATAAACTTCACATGGACAGGGAATTCTGCATGTTTGTACTCTGCTGTGTCCTCAGCATTTAAAGCAATACCTGGCACATAGCGGGCACTTCATAAATATTTATTAAATGAATCAGTAGTTAAACAAATACAGAAGAATCTTGTTGTAACAAACTCTTATCAAATGTTAGCAAACATTAAGTATCTGCTTTAACTTAACAGGGCTTATTCTATTGCCACAGAACTTACCCCTTGAGAAATTTTTTATTTTGGCAGTACATGGAAATATCCATTATTATATCTACTATTACATGATTATATATATAATTATGTTGTAAATGGTTATATATCCAGTATTATATGATTGTGTATGATTATTTGATTATAAATACCTTCAGTATTTTTACCTACAACAGAGGATCTTCAATAGGATGTATGTTGTGTGTAAGTAAAAATTGTACAGTCCATATATCTTCCTCTCATTTCCTTAATTGGTATTTTATAACTTTTTGGAACTGCTTCCTCCAAGTTCTAAGTTATTTGTAAAAGTCAAGAGCTAAAACATGAGAATACATAAAGCTTGTCTCATATGCCATTGCCATTGTGAACTTGATAATAATAAATCTTGCTGTCTTTCTTGAAGAAGAAACAGTGAAAGGAATACTGTTCAATTCCAACATCAGCTGTGTAACCGAGGCATCGTAATACTTTTATGACAAGTTTCACTACCTTTTTGCCTGTGCCAGTGTACCTCAAAGGGATATGGTAAGCTTAAATTGATAATTTTCATAAGATTCTAGAAAGTAACATGACACATATATTTATTTATATATATATTCAATCATTCAGTTACACATAAATATGTCTACATACACCAATCCTTGCTTTTTAGTATATAACAACATTGTTCTGTTTGTTGAGTGCCAAAGTAGCTACTTAATATGTTCAGATTTTGGAACAAACGCAGTGCAAGCTAAGTATCAGACAAAGAGGCAAAGAGAAGGAACAGATTTCTGGGCATCAGCCTGTGTTAGCAGGCTATTTCCTAGATCATTTTGGAGAAGCCTTCAAAAGAGGAATTCACATCTCTATTTCTGCTTCTTAGAGATCAGCAATCTTTTTTATAGTGCTGTGCAACAAGAGAAAATAGATAAACCCAGTGCTTTGAAGTGACTTGGGAGATGTTGCTACGGATATAAAAAGCTTACTACCTTAGAGGCTGTGGCAACCTAATCCATCCCTGCCGGAGGAGAAGCATGCTTTTTATAGGCCCCAAGACAAGGGTTAAGTTTATCTGCTTACCAGGAATCTCAGCTTGATGACTCACTTGCCAGATAAAATTTCTTATTAATGCAGAGAATTCCAGATTTGGTTGGTGTGGGGCTCCTCTGCAAAAGACACGCTGACCTTACATGAAAAGGAGTATTTTATTTTGAATTACCGCATTGTGAGAATGCAGAAATTACAGATGGAGAAACTATGTATTGAGGACTTTTGTAAGAAAAATTCACATATAATAGAACATCCTGAAATTACTTAGTAGATTATAAAATTTGTCCTCATTCTGTATATTCCTTAGCCAGAAATATTACATGTGGTAGTCCCTATATCTATAATTATGATTGTCCACAATGATAATACTGTCTATATTTTTAAGAAATGTTTTGGGGCTGGGCACAGGGGCTAATGCCAATAACTTCAGCACTTTGGGAGGCTGAGGCAGAGGATTGCTTGAGCCCAGAAGTTTGAGACCATCCTGAGCAACATAGTGAGACCTCGTCTATAAAAACAAACAAGCAAAAATTAGCAGGGTGTAGTCGTGCATGCCTTTAGTCTCAGTTACTTGGGAGGCCAAGGGGAGAGGATAGCTTGAGACTTGGAGGTCGAGGCTGCAGTTTAGCCGTTCTCGCACCACTGCACTCCAGCCTGGGCAACAGAGTGAGACCCTGTCTCAAAAACAAACAAACAAAAATAAAAGTTTGGCTTATAGTTTAAGTCATGACTGAAAAACTGTAATGATGTTACTGGTCATTACAGGTCTACATATGTCAGATCGATATATTTTTAGTGGTGATTAAATAGGTAATGAAGAAAAGAGATGCATGTAATTTTTTGCTTTGTGTTAGGTGATGAGCCTAGGTATCTCAGAAAGTTCCATGTAAGTTAAAGAAGAAGATGGAATCCTATAGTATTCACTTTCTATCCATCTCTTCTGTTAGTAGCTGGAAGTAGAAGATGTTTCTGTTGTGTCCATGACCCTCTGCTTTCCCATTTGTACTTAGCACTCCATGGTTAACGTGCCGTTTCAAAACAGAAAATGGCATACGAAAATCCAGATGCATGGAGTAGAAATAAGATGATTCTAGCTTCTTTCCTGAATCTGCTGTGTACCTTCCCCTGTGAACATATATGTCGATGTATATAATTCTCAATATGAACAACCGGATCAGGGTATCTTGAAACATATAGGAAATAGGAATATCTAAATCAAGTTATATTGATTGCAGTTTAATTCTGTTTCCTCATCTATTTCTACTAGAGAATTTAGATGCGTATCAGATTGACCCTAAAGATTCTGATTTTTTTGTAAAGCATTCATATAAATAAAGGGAATTATTTTAGAGAGGAAATTATTATTTGAACAAATATTTTATCCCAGATTACAGATTTACTTTGATGCTCATGGATATGGAATACGTTTAAGTAAAATAGCAAATAGCATTGCTTATCATTTTAAGGTCAACCTTGGGGTTGCTTCAACTTGTGAAGCAAACTTACTGCATTGTGAAGCAAACTTAACTGCATTGCAAGAAATACACTTTAATTAATGTCACTACAGTAATATGTTTAACATTCTCATTTGGCATTATGAAATGGTCCAGTGCATATCTAGAAACCAGAATGTTAATGGCAAAGTACAAAATTTGCAATCAAAATGCTCTGTGTTCTCCCAGAAGGTGGAAAGGGGATAATTAATGTAAACTGTGTATGTTACACCAGATTGCTAGATCTAAGGATTGCACTACAGCAAGTCTGATGGCCACCTGTTATAACTGGGCAATAAAAAGTGGAGAGGGTTTTAAACCACTAAACTTTGGGGGAAATAATACACCAAAAATAGTACAAATAGCCAAATCTAATTTATGCAGACATGGAAGCCAGGTGTTTCATGTATCACTTTCAATAAGACTGTGCGACTAAGACTTATTTCATGGCTGAATTCAAGCAAGAAATATTCTTAGATTAAAACGAATCATGATAATGAAAGAGAGGATAGTTGCTATTAAGAAATGATCACAAGTACAGATATACTAATCTCCTGGGACCAGAGCATGTCTTTATCACAGTCAATCAGTTCCAAAGTGGCTTGGAAAATTGTCTTTTGTCAACTTGATCATTGGTGGGTGTGACTGAAGAAAGAGGATACAGATTCTGAGCTATCATAACCCATTTTCCATGGAAAGGGAAGGAGTGACTGGTTCGTGTTCTTTCAGGTATTCAACTTTAGCGGGGCATTATGTATGTTAGAGAATTTTTAGCCAGAGTAAACAATACTTGGTACTTTTTGAGTAAGACTTCAACAATAAATTTTGGAATGTTTTCAATTGTGTACCAAGCAACATTTATAAAATAAAATTGTAATATCCTTTCAAAAGACTGTCTTCAAATAGCTAATTGTTTCTGAATATAAGTCACACTTTTATTTTTCATTTTACACTAAACACCTAGTGTGTTAAAGATGCTACACTAGGTATTATGACCATTCTAAACCACAAACAATGGATCTTTCCATTCCTCATAACCCCCGTAATTCAAAAGGAATGCCTTTGAATTCACTAAAATATCTTCATATCCTGAGAATATGAGAGGTTCGGACACCATAATTACCTCTAGTAGGTTTTATAATATCTATGCTGTTTATACAGACACTAATTTTATGTATTGTTATTTACTCATAATTCCTGCTCTTCTCCTCAAAGAATTTAATTTTCAGCAAAGATAAGTTGAATAAAATTATGTTAAAAAAGAAACTTCCCACAACGGTTTTTTTATTCCATTCACCTCTCGTTTATCACTCACTTCTGATATAGGGAAATGTAAATACCTGCTTATTTGCCCTTTCTGTCCCATGGTGTATTTATATGGGGAAGAAAAATAACACATTTCTACATTTTCTAGATATAAGGTTATTGTTTTTGTTTATATGCAAAAAATGTCCCATCTATAGGGATCTCACTGATCTGGCTTGAAAACCTATAGTCCAGTTAATCAAGGAAATATCAATATTCAAGACAGCTTTGTGAGGAAAGCACTATTATTACAACCACGATTATTACAAAATCATAAGGCAACCAGGCTTGAAATGTTTAATTAAAAGATTCAAAATCCTTGCCTAGGGTGAATCAGAAAAGGTTTTCATTGTTCAGGGAGTGAACTCTCTGTCATTGTCCTATACATTGTCATGACCAGAGTACCTGAAATTAAAGTGCTTTCAGAGATTCTTTGAAGCAATCTGAGGGTAAACAGAACACACCTATGATAAAAGCACTGCATCCATTGTAGCTAGGGAGTGCTCTAAAGGAGGAGAAATGTCACAGCAGTCACAGATTTAGGTTGTTTGGGGTCAACATATGAAGAATCTTTAATTTCTAGATAAGAAATTTGAACCTTGATCTATATAGATAATGGTAAGCTATTAAAAAATTTTGAACAGAAAATCATAAGGCAATTTAGAAAAATAATGTAATGGTTGTATGCAAGCTGCATTGAAGGATGGAAAATCTAATGACAGTAATGAACCAATTACAGTGTTCTTTGAAGAACAATACTTTAGTCATTTTCTCCATCAAGAATTTGAGAAAGGAATAGAGACCTCAGAAATTAGCCTTAAAGTATATACTTGGTGCTGATTGATCTTTTCTGACAAAATTGAAAGCTCAAAACTATAACTATTCAGCTAAACAAACATCTATTTTGCATGTGCCAGGCACTCTGCTAAGTATTATAGATTGAGAAATGCAAACTGAATGAGACCCAGTTTCTGACTCTAAGACTGTCCTGTCTTTGGGGGTGGATGCACTTGTAATCAGATTATCTGGATACACTGTCAGTAGTGCTACAGTAGAAGTCTGATAGGGTGGGTGAGAAGCCCATTGAAGCAAACGTTTTCCAGCCTAGAGTGTTCAAAGACTCCTTCCTAGTGGAGGTGGTCAGTCTGCTGAGTCTTGAAGGTATAGTAAGGGCTAACCAGAATAAGGGGAGTGTTTATTTTGAGTATTCAAAGTTAAAGGTAAACCCCTTAATTCTGGAATGTCAAAGAATAGGCAGTCCTGAGAGAATGTAATAATCACACATACACCCTGGGTTCAGGCAATATTTACATTTGCTTCCTTTAACAAGCTAGCAGAGAACTTCACTGGGATTGGTCATTCTCTCCTGGACTCTTCTCCTGCTGGTTCCTATCTTAGTGTGTCAGGGACCTCTGCCAGCAAGACTTTCTTCTTCCACTTATGCAAGGAAGTTGGAGTCCCTTGGCTGAGCTCTCCAGAGAGGTACAGGGGCATCAGTGCTAGAGAGTTAATGAGAGTATAGACTGCCTGGGATTTTATGCTAAAACTTTTACCGGGGGAATTATGATTTATAGCAGACGCATATCTTAGCACAGATCTTCATCACAGCTCCCGTAGTTTTTCAAATGCAAAGAAGCTTGTGTACATTGCTGACTCTTCATGTGTGGTTCCTCCTCCTTTTTTAAAAACACCTTTTTTAAAAAAATAACATGTTGAAAAAAAGATTTTTTATAATCATGTGTTATAGACTGAGTGTTCGTGTCTCCCAAAATTCATATGTTGAAATCCTACCCCCAGTGTGATTGTATTTAGGAGGTTGGGCCTTTGGAAGGTAATTCGTTCAGGAGGGTGGAGACTTCATGAATGGGATTAGCCCTTATAAAAAAAAGAGCTTGTTTCTCTCTCTCTACTCTCTGCCGTGACCATGTGAGGATGCAATGAATAGATGGCCATCTGCAAACCAGGTAGAGGGTCCTCACCAGAACTGCATCTGCTGACACCTTGCTCTTGGGCTTCCCAGCCTCCAGACCTGTGAAAAATAAATGTTGTTTAGCTACTCAGTCTAATTTGTTAAAGCTGCCAGAGCTAAGACAACACATTTATGACATTTCTTATTAACACTATGTTAAGAGTTTAGAAAAGTAGGATGAAAACACTCTATCCAATCAAGTTCACTTTTTTAGGTGGTGGAGGTAGGCATCTTTTGGAAATACTTACAGTAATTAAATGCTTTACAAGGAAAGGAGCGGACAGGTGATAGTTTAAGCACTAAAGTTGGAAATCTTGTGAGGTTTTCTGAGATTTTTTTTTTTTTTTGAAATGGAGTTTTGCTCGTTGCCCAGGCTGGAGTGCAATGGCACGACCTTGGATCACTGCAACCTCCTCCTCCCGGGTTCAAGCGATTCTCCTGCCTCAGCCTCCCAAGTAGCTGGGACTACAGATGTGCACCACCATGCGATAACAGGCTCATGCCACCATCTCCGGCTGATTTTTGTGTTTTTAGTAGAGACGAGGTTTCATCATATTGGTCAGGCTGGTCTCAAACTCCTGACTTCAGGTGATCTACCTGCCTCGGCCTCCCAGGAGTGCTGGAATTATAGGCGTGAGCCACCACGCCCAGCCGTGTTCTGAGAATTAAAGTATGGTTGTCCCTTGGTATCTATGGGGGATTTGTTCCAGGACCTACTGTGCATACCAAAATCTGTGGATGCTCATGTCCCTGATACAAAATGGCATAGTATTTGCATATAACCTATGTACATCATTCTGTATACTTTAAGTCATCTCTAGATTATTTATAATACCTAATGCAATGTCAATACTATGTAATAATTGTTATACTGTATTGATTAAGGAATAATGACAAGGAAAAAAATCTGCCCATGTTCAGTACGGACACAGTTTTTTTTCTGTATATTTTTGATCCATAGTTGGTTGAAACCAATGGATGCAGAACCCATGGATACAGAGGGCTGATTGTATTTCTAGAATGTAAATGTGGGGTGGGAGTTGAAGATGTGATTTATGAGACAGGACTGGAGGCAAATGGACTTCATCTTGTGGAGCCTGAAGAACCAATACCTAATTTTTTTTTTTTTTTTTTTTTGAGATGGAGTCTTGCTCTGTCGCCCAGGCTGGAGTACAGTGGTGCAATCTCGTCTCACTGCAACCTCCACCTCCCAGGTTCACACCATTCTCCTGCCTCAGCCTCACGAGTAGCTGGGACTACAGGCGCCCGCCACCACGCCCAGCTAAGTTTTTGTATTTTTAGTAGAGATGGGGTTTCACCATGTTAGCCAGGATGGTCTTGATCTCCTGACCTCATGATCTGCCCACCTCAGCCTCCTAAAGTGCTGGGATTACAGGCGTGAGCCACCATGCCCGGCACCAATACCTAATTTTAAGCAGAACATTGGCAAGCCAGATTTAATATTTGGAAAACTTACTGTCATAACCAATTGAAAGACTACTTGGTTATAGAGGCAACATTGTAGATAAGAATGCCAGTGGAATTATCCATGTGAGAATTATGATTTCTGAATTAAGGCTGTGGCAACAGTGATGAAATAAGAATTATTTGAGATAAATCTAGAATTTCCTTGGTTTTCTTATCTATGAATGGAAGCCTCAAAATTTTGCCACTGCAAGAGGCATTATTTCTATCTCACCCAAACATGCTTACATGAAACTGGACCTTACATTATAATGTAGCCTGCTTGAAATGTAAACAGGATCCCTGTAGTAGTGCTTCCATAGCCTGACAAGATGCAACAAGATATATCCTGTGTTTGTTCATATAACATACCTTGGTACTATAAAATACGAGTTCTTTACTTTCTCTGGTTTCTCATTGAGCTTCATATTAATCAGTAGAATTATTTTATAGGCTTACTAAAACATGTTTTAGTATTGCCTTTTTTTTTTTTTGGTCAGATTATTTGTTCTTGCTCTATCTTGATCCCACTCATTCCTCCAAACGCTGTATTGGCTCTTCCATCTTCAAATTATGGAATCAAACAAACCAAGAATTTCATTATTCTATTGAAGCCTCACTAGAGTGCAGTACACATCTTTGAGAGTTAAAGGAAGCTTATTAAGCATAATCTAAATTTTTTATACCCTAGTGTTTAATTTTGTTAAGTTGCTATACTAATGTTAGTTGTAACTCTCAGACAGTAGGGTAAACATGTGCCTTGGTTTACATGGGATAGTCCCAGTTTATGCCTGTATTCTTGGTGTAATTTATTTATAATGCCCCATTTTTACTTTCAAAAGTATCTCAGTTTGTACATTAAATTGTATGATCACCCTATCAGGGAGAGCCACAAAGAAATTATCCATTTATGCATTTCTAGAATTCAATTTATGGGAAGTAAATGTAATTAAAACATGCTGACAGCCAGTGTGCCTGCTGTAGACTTCATGCATACTGTCTCTTAAGTCTTTTTGAGGACAAATGGAGTAAAACTTGTCACTTATTTACTAAAAGATTTTTACTGCTATAATAGAAAAATGAAATTACTTCTCTTTTGGTGCTATATGTCCCTCAACCAGTCTTGTCATGATTCTATTAAGGTAAATAATGCAAAGCTGAGTTTTGCATTTATTTTCTAAACAAAATACACACTATGACTATTTAACTTATGGTGGAAAACAGAGAACCTTATATGGACTTAAACGTGAAAAGAATCTTGAAAAATATGATAATGAATTTAGTGCATCCCCTTCCTTTACAGATGAGTGACCTAGATCACCAAGAGGTCATGTAACATATATGTGGTTCCATGGCTACTTAAGTGGCATACAGTGCTATAGCTAGACCTCCAATGTTTTAATCCAGGGTTTCAAGGTCCTTTTCGCTAGATGGGATTGCATATGAAAACCACAGGCCACCTTTATTCCCATCACACTCATCTTGTAAACAAAAAGGTCCATGTAAAATATCCTGACTTTAGGAAATATATGGAAAGCAGTCAGAAATTGATATTTTACATTTTATATATTTAAAATACGGCATAATAGGTATGTGCTGAGTAGCTTTATGTATGTATGCACGAATATTTTTTAAACTTTTAATTGACTATATGTTTATGGGGTACACAGTGATGTTTTGATACATGTATATACATTGCGGAATGATCAAATCAGGATAATTTGAGTATCCATCACTTTAAGTATTTATCATTTCTTTGTGGTGAGAACATTGAAAATCCTCACTTTTAGCTCTTTTGAAATATATAATACATTATTAACTGTCATCACTGTGCTGTGAAATAGAACACCAGACCTTATTTCTTCTAACTGTAACTTTGTACTCATTGACCAATGTCTTTTTTTCCCCCATACAACACCAGGCTCTGATAATTATCATTTTACTCTCTACTTCTATGAGTTTGACTTTTATAGATTCCACATATGAGATCAGACAGTATTTGTTTCTTTGTTTCTGGCTTATATAGGTTCATTCATGTCACAAATGATAGAATTTCCTAGTTTATTTTTAAAGGCTGAATTGTATTCCATTATTTATGTATACCACAGTTTTTAACCCATTAGGTGGATACTTGGGTTATTTCCATATCTTGACTATTGTGAATAATGCTGCAATGAATGCAGGAATGCAGGTATCTCATCAGCATACCGATTTCCATTCCACTGGGTATGTCCCAGTAGTGGGATTGCTGGATCATATCATGATTCTATTTTCAGTTTTTAGAGGAAATTCCATACATTTTTTTGAAAAATAGCTGTACTAATTTGTAAAACCACCAACAGTGTATGTATAAGGTTTCCCTTTTCCCCACATCTTCACCAACACTTATCTTTCAACTCTTTGATAATAGCCAATCTAAAAGTTGTGAGGTGATAATTCATTGTGGTTTTAATTTGCATTCATCTGATGTTTAAAGCATGTTGAGCATTTCTTCACATATCTGTTGGCCATTTCTATGTTTTCTTTTGAGAAATGTCTTCAAATCCTTTGCCTATATTTTAAAAGGGTTATTTGTTATCTTGTTACAGGGTAGTCTGAGTTTCTTGTATATTTTGAAAAGTAGCCCCTTATCTGATGTATGATTTGCAAGTATTTTCTCCCAGCTCATGGGTGCCTCCTTTATTAATTGTTTCTATTGCTGTGCAGATGCCTTTCAGTTTGAACCAATCCCATTTGTCTATTTTAGCCCTTGTAACTTGTGATTTTGGGGTCAGTATCTAAGAAGTTTCTACCCAAAACAATGTCGGTCATAGAGCGTTTTCTGCATGTTTTCTTCTTATGTTTTATGGTTTCTGCTCGTATGTGTAAATCCTTAATATATTTTGAGTTGATTCTTTCATAAGGGGTGAGGTAAGGACCCAAGCAACTCCTAGACTCAAGCGATCCTTCTGCCTTAGCTTTCCAAGTAGCTAGGACTACAGATGCGTGCCACCATGCAAAGCTAATTTTTTTTTACTTTTTATCTTTTATTTATTTATTTATTTATTTATTTATTTATTTATTTATTTGGTAGAGATGGGATCTTGCTATGTTACCTAGGCTGGTCTTGAACTCCTGGCCTCAAGCAGTCCTCTTGCTTTGGCCTCCGTAAGTTCTGGGATTACAAGCATGAACTACCATGCCTGGCCTCCAATTTCTTTCTTTCTTATGTAGATATCTAGTTTTCCCAACATCATTTATTGAAGAGACTACACTTTCTCCAATGTGTGTTCTTCACAATTTTGTTGCAAATCAATTGACCATAGATACGTGGGTTTATTTTGGAGCTCCCTATCCTATTGCATGGGTTGATGTATCTGTTTTTATGTCAGTATCATGCTGTTTTGATTACTATAGCATTGTAATATATTTTGAAATCTGGTAGTGTGATACCTCCAGCTTTATTCTTTTTATTGATTATTGCTTTGTCTATTTGGTGTCTTTTATGACTCCATATGAATTTTAGGAATGTTTTTTTCTATTTCTGTGAAGAACTACATTGGAATTTTTATAGGGATTACATTGAATCTGTAGCATTGTGAGTAATATGGATATTTTAACAGTATTAATTCTTCCAATTCAAGAACATGGGATATCTTTTATTTGTGTCATCTTTAATTTTTTGTTAATGTTTTATAGTTTTTAGTATTCAGATCTTTCACTTATAATTTGATTAAATATACTCCTAAACATGTTTTGATCCTATTATTAATGGGATTGTTTTCTTCACTTCTTTTTCAGACGGTTCGTTGTTACTATATAGAAACTACTGATTTTTTATTTTGCACCCTAGAACTTTACTGAATTTATCAGTTTAAACCATTTTTTGGTAGCTTCTTTAGGATTTTCTGTGTATATTAATAAGATCATGACATCAACAAACAGATACAATTTCACTTCATCCTTTCCTGTTTGGATGCTTTTTATTTCTTTCTCTTGCCTAATTGCTCTGGCTAAGACTTTCAGGACTATGTTGAAGTACTTAATATGATTTTTATCTTCTTAAATTTGTTAGACTTGTTCCATGACCTAACATATGATCTATTCTGGAGAATGTTCCGTGTGCACTTAAGAAGAGTGTGTCTTCTGTTGCTGTTGGATAGAATGTTCTGTATATGTCTTTTGGGTTCATTTGTGGTACTTTAAAGTATAGTTCAAGTCCAGTGTTTTCTTACTGATTTTCTGTCTGGATGACCTGTCTAATGTTTCTAATGTTTAAAGTGGGGTATTGAAATCTTCTACTAATATTGTGTTGAAGTCTTTGTCTCCTTTCAGATCTCTTAATGTTTACTTTATATATTTAGGTGCTCTAATGTTGGGTGGACATATATTTACAATTGTTATATCCTCTTGATGAATTGATCCCTTTGTCAGTATATAAGAATCTTCTTTGTCTATTTTTACTGTTTTCTGCCTAAAGTCTATTTTGTTTGTATTATGTACAGCTGCCCCTGCATTCTTTTTGCTTCCATTTTCATGGAATGTCTTTTTTATTCCTTCACCTTCAGCCTATGAGTATCCTTTAAAGTAAAGTAAGTCTTTAAAGGACACTCATAGACTGAAAATGAAGGAATAAAAAAGGCATTCCATGTTGAGTCTTTAAAACAATATATTCAACCACTCTATGCTTTTTGATTGGAAAAGTTAATCCATTTACATTTAAATAATTATTGATAAGTGCAGACTTACTAGTGCCATTTTGTTCATTGTTTTCTGTAGAGCAATTGTTTTTTAGATCTTCTGTTCTTTTTTTCCTCTTGTGTTCTTCCTTTGTGGTTTGATGGCTCCCTGGAGTAGTATGCTTTAGATTTTTTCTTCTTATCTTTTGTGTATCTCTTATAGGATTTTGCTTTGTGGTTACCCTGAGGCTTACGTAAAACATCTTATACTTAAAACTGGCTATTTTAAATTGATAACAGCTTAATTTTGATCACATAACGCATACTACACATTTACTCTTCTACTTCCCACATTTTATGTTTTTAATGTCTTGTTTTATGTTTTTTATAATATATAATCACTTGAAAAATTATTAAAGCTGTAGTTTTGTTTTTGGTAATTTTGCCTTTTATCCTTTATACTAGAGGTATAATTGTTTACCCAGCACTGTTTCGTTATTAGAGTGTATTGGATTTGACAATATACTTGCTTTTATACTTAAAGTTTTATACTTCCATATATTTTAATGTTACTAATTAGTATCCTCTTCTTCTGCTTGAAGAACTCCCTTTGGCATTTCTCATAAGACAAGTCTAGTGATGATAAGCTCTCTCAGTTTTTGTTTGTCTGAGTAAGTGTTTATTACCTCTTCATTTTCAAAAGACAAGATTGCTGGGAATAGTATTCTTGGTTGACAGAACAACCCCCATCCCCCTTCTGGATTTTGAATGTATCATTTAACTCCCTTCTGGCCTGCAATATTTCTGCTGAGAAATACACTGATGCTTTTGTGGAGATTCCTTTACATGTGACAATTCACTTTTTCCTTGCTGCTTTCAACACCCTAACTTTTGACATTTTGACAGTGATGTGTCTTGGTGTGGGTCTTTTTTGGATTTATCTTATTTGATATATCGTAGGCTTCTTGTATTTGCTTTCTATTTCCTTCCCCAGGCTGGGGATGTTTTCTGCCATTATTTCTTCAAATATATTTTCTGTTCTTTTCTCTTTCTCTTGTTCTTCTAGTACACCAATAATGTTTAAATTGTTATACTTGATGGTGTCCCATAAGTCTCTTAAGCTATCCTTACCTTTTTTCACTTGTCAGATATTGCTGAAGGATTAAGTAATAAAAGGACTGGGAATTGACCACTGAGTTTTGCTGTGTAGATGCCATGAATAATCATGTTTGATGGAGTAATAAGGGGTAGCAAACTTATCTCTTATCTGTATTACTATAATGATCTCTTTATATCTCCTGACTTTCCTTCTTGCCTTTCCACAGTTTATTCTCAACACACTCAGCATGCTGACTTTTTAAAATATATAGATCATATCTATATATTTTAAATATCTATATATTTTAAATATCTATATATTTTTCACCTTTTTCACATTCTAACTTATATATTCATTTAAAAAAACCTTTTTATCAAGTGTATATTATCCTTCATTTGAATATTAACTCCATGAAGGCAGGGGCTTATGTATTTTTGCCGATATATCCTAAGTGTTTAGGATATTTCCTAGCACATGGTAAATGATCAACAAACACTGGTTGAATTTTTCTTGTCATTAGCTTGTAACTAAAGCTTTTAAAAGCATCAGATGTATATCTGAGCTAATAAGTATGATGTGTTTGCTTTTTTTCAAAAGCTACTACCTGTTGGAATCATTTCCAAGTAAGAAAGTACTATTTTGTAGGAGTTAGGTGATGTTAACTCAGCTGAATAATTAGCTTCTTGCCTCTCTGGTTATTTATTCAGTTTTTCCTGAGTATTTATATGCTCAAGGGAAGCTCAGTAAATACCTGTTGTCTACTCTGTTGCAAACACTGTGCTAGCGGCTGTGATTCATAGGCCTCCTCTAGAAGGAGAGATTCACAAGTATGTCAATGTTTATAACCAAGTATGACTGGGTGATGTTAGAAATAAATGCACCAGGGTTTGGGTTCATGTAGAAAAGACACACTTGCAGTCTATAAATGGTCTATTTTAGATTGAACACTCTGTCCTCTTTCCGATATCTCTGTGAATTTCAAATGTCCTACTTACAGCCAGAACTAAAGAACTGCAAAAATGATCCAAAGCCAATTCCTTTTCTGTCCCACCTGCAGCTTGCATTGATCCTCTAGTGTTTTTAATCAATCTTGCTAAATACTTCCTGTAGGGAAAATGAGTAGTGATGAGAAGTAATCTTGCTGCTACTTTCTTCTGAAAAATTTAATGATTGATTTACAGATATTGCCTGTTCATCATGATATCCCATTGTAGAAGATGGGGATTAAATTTCAGTCTTAAAGGTTATGGGATCCCTCAAGGCTTAGCGTATAGTAATGAAAAATTGAGAACCTAGAAAGGGGATTTCGGATTCTGTATAGTGAATAAACTTTTATCAGGCCTTGCTTCTGATATGAATTTAGGATTATGTGGATAGGCATATGCCATGAGCTTTTTACTGCAGCCTTAGAACTTTCTCTATATTTTATATACAATTTCTTATTTATGTATTTCTCTTCAGTTTAAAGCAAATGCTGTAGTTTTTCTGAAGTCATAAATAATCTCTGGGCCTTTCCCAACTGGTCTGTAGAGGCCCTTTTAATAAGGCCTCCTAAACATAAATAGAAATCAGTTACCTAACTTGATATCACAAACAGAAGCCATCCCTTTGATAAGTCTTTGTCTAATGGCTTACAAGTTAACTCTTTCCTCTGAATATTAACAGATGTCCTGGAAATTGCCTGTGTATTTGGAGTAATACATACTCCCTAGAGTACATGGTCTTTCTGAGCCACAAAACCTAATTCTTCGAATTCTAAAAAGATGTCCAAGGAGAATAATAGATCCTTTAGATGTATGGTTTGCCTGGTTTCTGTTTCTTTTTTTCTTTTTTGTGAGACGGAGTCTCACTCTGTCGCCCAGGCTGGAGTGCAGTGGCGCAATCTCGGCTAACCGCAACCTCTGCCTCCTGGGTTCAAGTGATTCTCCTGCCTCAGCCTCCCCAGTAGCTGGGACTACAGGTGCGCACCACCACGTGGGCCCAGCTAATTTTTGTATTTTTAGTAGAGACAGGGTTTCATCTTGTTGGCCAGGATGATCTCGATGTCTTGACCTCGTGATCCGCCCACCTCGGCCTCCCAAAGTGCTGGGATTACAGGCGTGAGCCACCGTGCCCGGCCTGCCTGGTTTCTTTGATTTTTAATTTTTGATGTTCCTGGGTACATACTAGATGTATATATTTCTGGGGAACATACAGATATTTTAGTACAGGCATGCAGTGTGTAATAATCACATCATGGAAACTGGGGTATCCAGCCCCTGAAGCATTTATCCTTTGTGTTACAAACAATCCAGTTATAATCTTTTAGCTATTGGTTTGCCTGTCTTAAAATATTTTAAGCTTAATGTGAAGCATGTTACCCTTAGTAAAAATTCCCATTCTTCTTACATTCTGATAAGGTCACAGATAGGAAACTCATTTCAGAACTTGGTTCTTCTCTATAATTTACTTTTAGTGCTGTTATGGAACCCCATTTTGAAGTATACATTCCCACAGTATGGCAATTAATCTATTTCTTCTTTAGGCTAATGAGTCTTTTCTTGCAATGTCTTCATTTATTCATTCGTCAAACTCTTGAACTTCTTGTATGTAAAGCACTTTGCAAAATCACTGGTATAACCATTGAACCAGAGAAACACAACATTTGGCTTCATGACCTGATACCACCTATTTCTCTAGGAATTGAATAGGTTCTGTTGGTGCTTGGTTAACAGGTTATTATTCTAAAGTCATGCCATCTTTATGGATCACACATTAAGCCTTTTTAATGTATTATTTTAAAACTTAAACACCAATATTCTGTATTTTTACTTATTTTTTGTATGTGACTCTATGTGACTCCCAGTTTTACCTTCCTTGCTTAGGTTGATGTGATCGTGACACTGGGAGGCCTTGCTGGGCGTTTTGACCAGATTATGGCATCTGTGAATACCTTGTTCCAAGCGACTCACATCACTCCTTTTCCAATTATAATAATCCAAGAGGAATCGCTGATCTACCTGCTCCAACCAGTGAGTCAAAAGTGAATATAATGTGAGCCCTTTCCTTCACAAAGCTTCTACCACTTGAGTAGACTAGAAGAAAACATTGGCCCTGCTTGGGTCTTCGAACTGTGAGTGGAATTGAACATGTGCGCTTTCTTGTGGCCACTTTAGTTTTGCCCCAGGTCACTGACCAGCAAAAATGTGAAGGAGAATCCTGAAAGTTTTCATTTTATTGTGTCTAAAAAACAAGAGAAAGTGTTGTAACTCTAAATTGACTAAGAATTAAATTGAGCACTTTTGCGTTTTGAACAGCTGAATGTGAATGACATTTGAGAAAAACCTCAATAGGGGAAACACAAGGTTTGGCAAATGTTGCTAATGTAATTCTTACGTATTTTGAGTGTTGTCATTATCATTGGATATAACTGGAAACTGGGTTTGATTTCGTTAGGCACTTAGAAGACAGTCTTTAGCTTTTACTATTCATAAGTTGCCTGGTGATTAGTTTCTCTGTCTCAGAATAATTTCTAATGATGTCTTTCATTTCCAGTGATAAACATTAACGACATTTTCTCTCAATGTAGTGCATAGAACAGAATTCTTACTAAACAAACAAATTTTATGAGGTTTATTGGTGGATTTCAGTTTTAAAATATCATTTGGTAACCTTTTTTTTAAAAGATAGTGGACAGTACTTTCCATTTTTGCCTCTCATTGTGGTCTACTACTTATATTTTGCTGCTACCCTGTTGCTACCCACCATCTGTAGCCTGGCATTACTAGAAATTGTAGTTTGGTTAATAGGGTGGGTTTAGTGCATGCTCACTATTCTTTAGCCAGTTTTGCATTTTTTTCCTGGATCTTTGCGTGTCCTAGCCATGTTGCTTTCTGGATAAATATGGAAGGGGAGAAGAAGAATTCAGATTTCAAACTATACTATCCATGTATTTTGTCAACCGTTACAGACTGCCTTCTACGTATTTGTTGCACTGCCTAGCAATTAAGGATAAAAATAAATAGTTGCATGTGATCTTTGCTCTCCAGATTAAGTGCAATGAAAGATCCATTTATACAAATGTAATCACAATGCAATGTTGAAAGATTAGTACCAAAAAATGAAATAATAGAAAACTGGAGCATGTGTGTAGTAAGAAAAGTCTTCACAGAGGCACTCACATTGTATTCACTCAATTAATTCAACAAACGTTTACTGAGTACCTGCTATTTGCCAGGCTCCTTTCTAGGGATAGAGCAGTTAACAATACAAACAGAAATCCTTTCATGCAATGTACCTTCTACTAAGCTTACAATTCAACAGAATCTTCAAGGATGAGTAGATTCTTGCTGTGGAAGATGATGGGAAAGTTATTTAATGCAAGAAGAGCCAGGGAAGAAACATGGAGATGCAGGATGTGTTATAGGATTTGCAGGTAATTCTGTGCAGCTAAAATATGGGCTGTGCAGCTACAATATGGGCTGTGGTATGGAAGAATGCCAGAAGATAAGATACAAAACTAATTGGGATACTGATTGTGAAGAGCTTTAAATTCCACACAATGGAATGTGAACTTCTTTTTGCCATAGGTTTTGGAAAGTCATTAAAAGATTTTGGTTAGCAGTACAGATATGCTTTTTAGATTTCTTATCAATTTATATGTTTGTTAAATACCCATAGACTCCCAACAGCTTCTGAAGTTTGAAACTTACTACTATTGTGAAGCAATGAGCTTTGTTCTATTGCACTGAATTGATGGTATGACTGCTAAAGTATTCAGTCATAACTTGTCTCTGTATAGATGCTCTGGTCAATATATTACTAGTTAAAGATGCAGTACAATACTTTTTAAAATTATAATTGGCAGATTCACTGATAGAAAAAGCCACATCTAAAATATGAATTCTACATTAAGGTATTTTTACTGTTTTGGGTTTCTGTGTTTTCCCTATAATTGGTATAATTATGAGCTTTCTGAAATGCATTTGGCTTGGGATTCATTGGATTTTCTTCCATCTATAGATTGTTGTCTGTCATCATTTCTGGAAAACTCTCAATCATTATGTTTTCAAATATTGCCCTATTCTTTTTCTCTTTTCTTCTGTACCTCCAATTAAATGTATTTAAGATCCTCTACTTGTATCATATATATCTCAGCACTTTCATATTTTCTATGTCTTAATCTCTCTGGGCTTCATTCTGAAGTTCTTCACCACCTCTGTGTTCTGTTCACTGTCCCGCTTCAGCTCTACCTATCTGCCGCTAGACCCACCCTCTGCGTTTTTAATTCCTGCCATGATTATTCTTTCTTACACGCTTGCCCTTTACTCACATTTTCAAGGGGCTCTTTCTTAAAACATAATTATCAAACTGGTTTTATAGTCTAGAATAATTCTAATGTAAGCCAGCTGCCTTTTGTGTTCACTTTTGCTTTCACATTTCGTGACCTCAATTCCTTCTCTGTTTTATGATTTTTGGCAGGACCTCACATTTCTGAGAACTTTAAGTGTGGGAATTATTTGAGGTGTGGGTTAAAAGTAAATCCAAGGAGAATTTACATTTGCTTTTGCCTGGCTGCTGAGTGGACTTGTAGCCCAGTTCTGTGGGAGCACTAAGTACTTAGGACATTTTGTCTGAGACTATTTTGGACCACGTTGTCAGTGTAGACTCTGAATGTAACACTGCTGAGAATCTGATGTCTGGTTACAAATGCTCAGGGGAGACTTTTCTCATCTTCTCAGTTATGGAGTGCCAAAGTTTGGTTGGCCACTTTTCCTAGCAGACCAGTGGGAGTGTTGTTCATATTCATCTTGATATTTTGGATCTCTGCTTTACGTGGTACAGCATCCTTTTAGACGTCAACCTTGGGCAGGCCTTGGGCTTTGTCTTCTGACAACCTTCCCTAGTTGGGGGCTTTAGAAACTGAAGCTCAGGTTCATCTGATTTGCTAAACACTCTCCAGATGAAAGTTAGCCTTGGCCTTCTTTTTATATCAAAATGTAGTTTTTGGCTTCTGGGCAAAATTCTTATTTCTTTCCTTTTCTTTCTTTTTTTTTTTTTTTTTTTTGGAGACAGAGTCTCCCTCTGTTGCCCAGGCTGGAGTGCAGTGGCGTGATCTAGGCTTACTGCAGCCTCTGCCTCCTAGAATTCTTTTTTTTTTAAAGATACATTTGATGCATTTTAGAAGATTCTCTTAATTTTTTTTTTTTAGTATTTGTATTGTTTTCAGTTGGCCAGGGCACTAATCTATCATATTGCCTCTGTACCTCAGTTACTTCCCACCCCCCCCTCCGTCTATGTTGCAGTGATGATCAACTCCAGATCTGAGAGGCTTTCCAAGATTAGGTTTATTAAGTTTTTTTTTCTTATTAATAGAATATCTGATGTGGCTTGAGAGGCATCCCACATTTTATATCTAAGCTAACTGGAACACATTGCTGAAGCAGGGAAACTGATTACTAGAATGTGGCACCATGTTTTTTACAGGCCAGGCCTGCCTATAACCTGTGTCACCTTCTGCAGGAATGAAGTTCTGCCGCCCCAGCCCAACTGCAAAGGCAGTCTAGGAAATGAAGCTTGTGGGCCCAGGAAGAGGAAACACTGACTTACAAAGCAATTCTTTCTCAAACTGCCAGACATGGATATCTTGAAAGAAATTCTGGAATCATGACCCTACATAACTTATAGGAATGTAACATACAATGTGTTAGGCTTTAGTTAGTTATTAAGGTGGAATCCCCAGTTCTCTAAAGTGGTAAACATGTTAAGGGTACCTGCATAGCCAAATCCCCAAATATAATGCAATGTAGATTCTCTCTGTGATAATTTTGATTTTGTGTCATTGGAATAACTACAAAATTACCTTATCCTAATGAAGTAATTATTACATAGTGTGGTGCAAAAAGAACATGCAAAATTACACTCTCTGTTCTTTAAGGGAGTGACAATGGCAGGCACAGGCTTCCACCTGTGGGGTTAGCAGTGCAGCCTTTGCTCGTCTTGGCCACTCTGTTCTAGGGAGTTCTTTATCGAGACACAGCCTGGCTCTCTGCTTTTCTATCACTTTTAGTAAGGGAATAGCAAGAAAATTAGTAACACAAATGCATATGTTGAAGTGAATATGTTTGGGGGTTTAAGGTATGGATGGATCTCATGTGATCCACCATATTGGTAACAAGTTTTAATTGTATACCCGTGAATGGGATTAATACTAAAAATCAGTTAAAAACTACTAGAGACCGGGTGTGGTGGCTCATGCCTATAATCCCAGCACTTTGGGAGGCCGACACGGGCCTGTCACCTGAGGTCAGGAGTTTGAGACCAGCCTGACCAACATAGTGAAACCCTGTCTCTACTAAAAATACAAAATTAGCCAGGCGTGGTGGTGCATGCCTGTAATCCCAGCTACTTGGAAGGCTGAAACAGGAGAATTGCTTGAACATGGGAGGTGGAGGTTGCAGTGAGCTGAGATTGCGCCACTGTGCTCTAACCTGGGCAACAAGAGCAAAACGTCGTCTCAAAAAACAAAAAAAAAACTACTATAAAATTACTGCACAGAAGCATTCTACATCCTAGAAATGAGACTTGCACCACTGGGGCTGAAATGGCTCTGTCAGGTGTTACTTCATATAACTGCATCATTAATATATGTGATACATGCACTAAATGTGCCTATACATTACATGGTGTGCATACTTTGGGGAAGGTATTCAGAATGGACATCTACAGCAGACTGTTCATTATTTTTAGAACATACAGTCACAGTCCGGATGGGCAGGAGAAATGTTATAAATTTAAACTGAAATCATTTAAAAATATTGCAAAAGTAGGCTTAAGAAAATGTCTCGTGTGCTTTAGCGCCAAATAAAGAATGACTTCAAAACTCTAAATTTTTAAATTTTTTTAAATTAAAGTTAACATATAGTTGTTGAGGAGGAAGATAATACTGATACTTTTACAAGAAGCATCTCATCTGAGCCTTATAACAATACTGGGAGAAAAGCAGGATAATATGGTCACACAGTGAAGTGTTTTGTCTCAACACTTTTTCCACAACATTACATTTCCTCCTTCATGGGGTTAATGGACTAAGATGCAAATAATAAACTCTTGAAACAAGTCACAGCCCATAGGCTGGTAATTGTCCATAAGCAGTGTGTAACTGATGGCCAGTTGGTGTATGCATGTGTATGTATAAATATATGTGTGTGTGTATATGTGTACATATATGTTTTTTCCACTATGATATTATTTTCAAGTAAAATAAATCTTGGATGCACTTTAAGGATCTACCTCATCTTGTTGCTGTATCCTTAAGGAAAAATGACTTTCTGAAGTTTTATAATAAAATTTACATCTAATAATAATCTTTCATCATTTAAGCAGACTAAGTGATTTACCATTAAGCTTTGCTAAAGTATGTTAAAAGTGGTAAAAATTCAATATAAATGTTAATTATTACGAGTGTTAGATTTGAGCCTAGAGTGTTCCAGAATTTTTTTTCAATTAGATGATCTGAAATTAAAGATAATAGTAGGAGGAATAAGTCATCTTACAGCAACTGTTTATCTGATCATTTTTTTAGTCTAGTAACTTGGTAAGAGAGCTTGTGTTATATCTGCTACACTAATTTTAATTGGCTAGAATAGTCCTAGTCCCTGGAACCAGAATGCACTTTTCTTGATCTTTTTAAAAAAGCCTATCCTCATATCATCTTAGTCTTTCTGTGATGTTCTGTGTTTCTTTTGGAGTGTTTACATATGAGACTCTCATGAGACTAGGTTGTGTAAATAAGTAATTATCTTCCATTCATTAAGATTATTTTAGTCATTTCGGACTGACCTATATGTCATAGTAGCAATTCACTTAAAGTGTATAGTTGTTTCAGTCTAAAGTCTGTGTTCTCTTTTCAGTCCCCTCTCTGTGGTGTATTTTTATTAGTTATAAATTGAATTTTAAAACAAGGATACAATGAGGTAGTTCCAGTTAAAATGAATATGGGAAGGTGTTTGGAATTTTTTTAGCTGGTTGTTTTTTTTAGCATGTAAGGTTTTTCATATTGTATTTTTGGCATATTTCACTTACTATGGGTCAAAATGTAATTATGAGTGAAAACCTTGGTAGGTAGCATTTACTTTGTAGGAATGTTCAATTTGCCATTCGAAAAATAGAAAATTCAAAATAGGATGCATAATAGTCCCTTCCTTTAAATAAACATCCTTCTTTTACTTCCAAAAATGTGTTCTTGATAAGACATCATCACCTTTTATGAGGAGGGGATGCTATGAAATAGATGACAGACATTTCAGATATGAAACATCGCTGATGTCAGTAACTAGTTAGGCCATCTTCCTGCTGAAGAGTCAGGTGCTCAGAGCCATGTTTATCATGCTGCCTGTGTGGAGTGCGGGTGGCTCTAGGTTTCACATACATTCTTTCTCATTTTCTGGTCCTGTGCTTCTCAGGAGTACAGAAACATTAGCTTCTGTACACTGAGCATAAATTATCTTTTATCTCCAAGTTTTATGGCAGTTTGTAATACAAGTTAATAGGATTTATAACCAAGAAATGAGATGTCCAAGAGTTAATAAGGCATGGCTTTTACATTATCCTAAACCTTGCTCGGTGATTCCCGCTCAGGATTCCAGTATCTGATATAGGAGAAGGTGGCACAGAGAAGACTTCTGTCAGTTTTTATCTCACTTGAGCAAACTTGCAAATATGTTGTAAATATTTCTTCCTCATCATTTTAGTCATGCTTTACTGCTGCTTGTTTTTTTTTTCTCTTTCACCAGATCAATTATTTACTATATAATGTCCTAACATTATTTACATTATACATTTGTAATGCTGGTAATGAATATGATAAAATATGCTGGGAGTTTGATAGAAGCTGAATATTCATGATATAAATTTGCTATGCCTGATGGTTTCTGCTGAGAACTGGGCGTTTGGGTCGGTCTACCCTTGTGTGCACATGTCCAGCACAACCTCATCAGTGATAACATCAAAGAAGTGATTCTCAGTGTGATTTTGAGTAGGCGACAGAGAGTTCTCAATTCTAGACAACACTGAAATCTTCCCACACTATTTATTACCCGTTTTAATTCCCTTCTTTGGAATAATCATTATTATTTTATTCTTCCTCTGTATCTTTCATGTAATTTTTATTGTTGCTTGGCCTTTTAGAATTCCTAGTATAAACTACATAGTATCACAGAACTATTAAATATGTATTATTAAATATAATAAACTATTAAATAGTGTGAATAGTGTAAAGCTTTAGAGATCGTTTTATAGATGAGCAATTTCAGAGACATTTATGTGATCTGCCCAAGGTTATATGCAGTGTTTCTTTGGTAGGTGATTGATACTGAAATTGAAAAAGATCTGATGCAGTAATAGTCTGAAAAAGGACCACTAGGCATTTCATACCAGAAATGCCCTGTTACACTGACCTTCCCAACCTCCCTCCGCCTTCCAAAAGGCGCATTGTGAATACCTGTTCCTACCTGGCCTACACCCACCTCAGCTTGTTGCCCTGGGAAAGTTTTGCCACTCAGGGTTCAACGCCTGGCCGAAATACTCTTTACCTTCAAATTGTGTCCTTGCCTAGCTCTGTCCTTTCTTTGGCTTGTTTGCTCTGCCATGCCATGCAGCAGGTTCTTCTTCACATGGAATACACACAGACACATCTTCGCTAAGCCTCCTCTTCTTTTCCCTCTCTTCAATTGTTGCCCGGCTTTCTAGGGAACAATTTTCAATACTCATTCTCTCCTTCTTCTCTTTCCCCTTTCTTTTGTGTTGTTTCCTCCTCCTCTACATGACATTTAAAAAAATAACACAAAAACCTATCCTGTTGTAGTATGTGTTAATCTCATACATATAAGCAGGAAAACCTTGTATTTTAGTATGAAATAAGACAATAAAATTCCAGAGCTATACAGTTCTCATTTTTTAAGTGCCCTAGTGTTCCCTTTAAATCTCCATAGAAAATTTTCCTCTATGGTTTTATCCATGTTTAATTAAACTAATTTTCATTTAAGAAGTTAAACTACACACTTGTCTTTACCTTGTAGCTATTGTTGTCTGTTTTGTTGATTCACAGAGTAGGATACTTCAAAAACAAACATTCAGTAAATACCTATGATGTGTTAGACACTGTGGTAGGCATTCAGAGTACAGAAATAAAAGGCACTGCCTTTATTCTGCTGCTCACAGTTTAGTACAAGAGACAGAATAAATATTAAAATTCAGAAATATGTATGAGAAAACACTGGGAGCAAGGGGGATGGCAGGAATAAAGCATCTTACCCAGACGGGACACAGGGCCGGTGGTCCCCAACCCTAATACCTGCCACTCACCCATGCAGCATGCAGGCTCTTTGACCTTAAAGAAGCCTTTCACTGAGAAAGATTTATAGGAAGATATCCATCAGCAAAAACTTAAGGTGATCCCTCAGTGATTCCAAAGCAGTATAGGAGGAAATACCGAATTCAATCTTCATGGAAACTGTTTGAAAACTTACGTGAACATTGGCCTTTCCTTTCAGCCATGAGTGATGGAGAATCAGTTTTGGAGACTTGAATAGTTTCTAAGAAATGATATCAAGACTCCATATGTGATATGGAGATGATATCTGAACTCAAGACTGCTAAGAAGTCAGGCAAAGAAAGGAATAGTGACATTTAATGTGGAAGGAATATAAAGCAAGAGAACTTGGCACATTTGGGGAACAGCAAATTGCTGGATCACGGGGAGCCATTGGAGGTGCAGCTGGAGGGAAGCAGGGTCTAGAGCATGAGGGCTTGCTTGAATCCCCAGGAAGATGGTCTCTATATTGAGAATAAAGGTCAGGTTTTAAGGGTTTTTTTAATCAAAGGAGTGGCATTTGATTGACATTTTAGAAAGTTTAATTTGGTGGGAGTATAGATTGTTTATGGAAGAAATAGAGGCCAACCAATTCTCTTGGAAATCCAAGGAACAAATGGTGAGTAAACTTAAGTAAACATGAGAGTGAAGGAAAAATGATGGAGTTTGTTGGGATGTGTGCTCAGAAGTCTTCATCGTAGAAATGCAGAGGGAGGAGTCGGTATAATAACTGCATCCTGCATTAGGGAACTGGGTGCTGTTCTTCTTTGAGATAGAGCAAATGGGAAGAGCAGATCAAAATGTGAAGATCAGCAGTTGACTCTGGGATATAAAGAGAAA
This sequence comes from Homo sapiens, assembly GCF_000001405.40. Classification (NCBI taxonomy): domain Eukaryota; kingdom Metazoa; phylum Chordata; class Mammalia; order Primates; family Hominidae; genus Homo; species Homo sapiens. The sequence continues at coordinate 144,582,243 of NC_000007.14, read as the reverse complement.
GATCTATCTTTGGAACCAAATGGAATTGCCTAAAAGGATATATGTTCTGGCCTGGAGGTATACCTTGAAAATTGTCAATATGTAAAAAGGCAAAAGAGTGATGAGCTTGGATATCAAGAATAAATAGGATACAATGGATTTGGCAGCCAGGAAGAAATTTGATAAGGTAGAAAGCCAGGAAGAAATTTTGATACGTTTTTATGGCACAGTATGGGTAGAAACTATATTACTATGAGTTGAGTATTAAATGGGAAGGGCAGTTGAAATACATTTGTTTTCTTTTGTATTATTGTTTACCCTTTTTTGTTGTTCCCTTATAGAAGTTGATTTTTTTGTGCTAAACTGGGAACTAATAATGGCTTATAAAACTGTTTTGGTGAGACCATTTTTCCAAGTTAAAAACAAAACCATGGCACACGTATTTGGGATTTTGCCTTTGTATCTTGCGCAGCATGACTGAGAGCTACTATGCTGCATGTTTGTAAAGTGCTGCAGATATTCATGGACACTAATTATACCAGCATACACTGGAGAAGTACTTTTCACCCTACTTTTAACCAATACTTTCTTCAAGAAAAAAGAAAAAGAAAAAGAATCTCCTGGCCCAAACCCCAGCTCCACATCTCTTATAAACCCTTCGACACCTCTTCTACTTGAACATCTGTGGTATGGGGCTAAGGCATGGTGGAACTCTGTGTCAAACCTTTTAGACTCCTTTTCTGGTCTAGGGAAAACTGGTTCGAACATTCCACAACTACTCTTTTCTCTGCTTTTTTGAACTCACTGTACACTTTCAAAAATATTTTTAAGTAATTCTTGTCTTTTAAAACCCTACTCAAAATTTTTGTCTTCTATGGAGCATTTCCAAATAAACCCTCTAAACCTCCTTCATCTGGATCATTTTTATCTTCTTTTGTCTTCATTCCGGCTGCTATAACAAAATACCATAAACTTGGTTTTATAAACAACAAATTCATCTCTCATAGTTATGGAGATTGGGAAGTCCAAGATCAAGACGCCAGTAGATTCAGTGTCTGGTGAGGGCCCCTTGGCTGGTTGGCTCTTTCTTACTGTGTTCTTCCATGGCGAAAGGGGCAACTAAGCTCTCTAGGGCCTCTTTTTTAAAGGTACTAATCCCATTCATGAGGGCTCTGCCCTCATTACTAAATTGCCTCCCTAAGGCTCTACCTCTTAATACTATCACATTGGTGATTAGGTTTCAACAGATGAATTGGGAGGCAAGTGCATGAGGAACATTAGGAACAACCAAACACTTTTTTTAAATTTTTTTTTCTCCTTTGGGCCTCAAATACTCTAAACCTAAAACAAAATTTATTGAGTTATAACTTTTCTTGTTTCTGAACTTTAAAAAACAAATAATTGCGTATTTTGATAAAAGATGAAATAACAATTTTCACAGTTTAATGCTAGCCAAGTCTAAATAAATAGGAAGTTTTAGATAATCTAAATGTATTATTCCATTACCAGAAGCATCCAGTATTGCCTCCTCTTATAAAATGTGGGCTGCCTGGACATCCCTGGTTAAGAGTCAGAGGCTATAACTTGATCCACTTATTTCGCATTTGACACTTGCCTTTTCCTTGTATTTTGGGTGCTTACTTGGGACAGTAATTGTTTCTTTTGGTGGTTGGTAGCATGTTACTGCTGGACAAATACATCAAATACATGCAGATAATGGTGGTGGTGGTGGTGGTGGTGGTGGTGGGCTTTAAAGCAACCTAGGTATGATGATGTTTCAAGGGGAAAGGAGTGAAACACTACCCTGATACCTGCCTCTCACCCACACAGCATAGAGGTTCCTTGACCTTAGAGAAGTCTTTCACCAAGGAAGATTTATAGAAAGGTGTTCATCAGCAAAAACCTATTGTGACCCTCAGTGATTTCAAAGCAGTAAGGGAGGAAATATCAAATTCAATCTTCATGGAAATTGTTTAAAAACTTATTTGTACATTGGCCTTTCATTTTCAACCATGAGTGACAGAGAATCAATTTGGAGACTTGATGCAATCCATAAGAGTGTTGTGTGCAGGTGCAACAATAGAAAAGATGGCATCAGCATTTGTCTGAGCTCTGTCACCATAATTTATCATAATCCAATTCTAGGTAAAGTAATGGAATATTGGATGCAGGATGTCATCTTTTCCTTTATCCCCCCTCCCACAGTCCTCTGTGGCAAGGACACTGGTACACTGTGTCATGTATACTTAGTTCAATTGAGCATTGCTGCAGCATCTTCCTTTGATTGAAAACAAAAGGTTGCCAATGCAGTTATCAATGAACTGTGAAGTGATTTGAGTGTTACCAGCAGGGAAATGAAATGAGCCTCTGGGAAGAAGATTGGCATAAGTGAAAGTTTCTATATAAAGAGCTCCATACAGCTCCAGCTGGGTTGTTCTAGTTCTCGGCCAATTAAGGTTTTTTCCTCCAAATGTGGGAGAATTTTCATCTTACTTGTTCTGAAAGTAATCAAAACTAAAAGTGAAGAAAAGTGGAAAATTTTACAAAGAAAGTTAAGCTGGGACAGGTGGGGCTGGAGGGTATTTATTCAGACCATACATTTACCCTAGATATTTTAAAGCTCTTTCAAGGAATTGTGTAAGATGTCTCCCTCCCCCACAATACACACATATACATAGAACACATGTAATATATAAGTACACACACGCACCACACAGTTTTACTAAGAAAAAGGAAAGTAAGGATTCTAGATCTTAGGTCTATTGAGAAGGATTTGGTTTTTTTTGTTGTTGTTGTTTTTTTTTTTTTTTTTTGAAAACTAGTGTGTTTGTCTTTTAAAAGCTCTAATTAATTCTTCATAACTTTGTTATTATCTGAATTATGATACTTGACTTACATATATACAGAATAGTATACCAGTGGAATTTTTTTTTAAAAAGTTTCAGAGTCTGAAAGCAGGTTAGCAGGATATAACCTAAGGTGATAGACACACACAGAAAGAGAAACTTAGTTTGAATAAACATAGAAGAGGAGAGGTATTCCCAATTTCATATTGTTTTCTGAATCAGACTGAGAAACTGCTTATAAAATATTAAGTAGATCTGATAGTCTAAACATTGAAGATATACTGAATATTAATATACTAAATCTCTTGACCGCCGTGCATGATTTATGAAATATCCTCTGTATCCAAAAGGATGGAAGATTAAAAAACAATAACATTTTTACTTATATACTGAACACTTTGGTCCACTTAACACTTTTACAATTTATGAACTACCTTCATCATCATCTCATTTGCTTCTCCCAGCAGCCCTTTTAAGTAAGCAGGCTAGGTACATTTTTCCTACTTCTGAGATGAAGAAATTATGCATAGGACAACATAGTGAATCCATGGCAAATCCATCAACAATCTAGGAATTTTCTGAATGCTGCTTCTATACCTTTTCTTTATAAGAATCCACAGTTACTCTCTAAATGTTATTGGATACATATGGAAGGCTCCAAAAGGATTAAGAAAAAAATAACCAGTTTTACATATCTTCTGCGCACTATGAGGTTCACCTAGGAGTAAGCATTTGTATTAGTCTGTTCTCACACTGCTAATAAAGACGTACCCAAGACTGGGTAATTTATAAAGAAAAAGAGGTTTAATGGACTCACAGTTCCGCCTGGCTGGGGAGGCCTCACAATCATGGCAGAAGGTGAAAGAGGAGCAAAAGCACATCTGACATGGTGGCAGGGAAGAGAGAGTGTGCAGAGGAACTGCCCTTTATAAAACCATCAGATCTTGTGAGATTTAATCAGTATCACAAGAACAGCATGGGAAAAACCTGCCCCCATGATTTGTTTACCTCCCACTGGGTCCCTCTCACAATACATGGGAATTATGGAAGCTAAAATTCAAGATGAGATTTGAGTGGGGACATATCCATATCAGCATTGAAAAAATCTATATGGCTTTTTTCTCCCCAATCAATTTTTTAATTATGAAAATTATCATACATACAGACTTTTTTTTTTTTTGAGATGGAGTCTCACTCTGTTGCCAGGCTGGAGTGCAGTGGCGCGATCTTGGCTCACTGCAACCTCCGCCTCCCGGGTTCAAGCGATCCTCCTGCCTCAGTCTCCCAATTAGCTGGGACCATAGGCATGTACCATCACACCCGGCTAATTAAAAAAAAATTTTGTTTACAAGTAGGGCCTTGCTAGATTGTCCAGGCTGGTCTTGAACTCCTGGCCTCAAGCAATCCTCCCACCTTGATTTCTCAACGCACTGGGATTACAAGTGTGAGCCACTGCACCCAGTTACCTGCCACCTGCTATTGCATGTAGATAAATTTCTAAATAGAAAGAAAGGAATAGATGTAATCAGTTTTCTTATCAAGAAGGAAGAATATTCTGTTTTAGCTGAGATAGTGTTGATGAGGAACGGGATTGCTTCCTCTGTGGAAAAAGGCATGATGACAGAGGACCCCCAAAATTGATTCATTGTGGAGACATTGGCCTTTCCAATTGTCTTATGACAGTAAGCCAATTTTATCCCTAGTAGGAGTCCTCAAGGTAAAAGGCACAGAGTATAGAACATTGGTCTCATTTTATCAGGCAAGTTTAACATACAACAATGTTGCTCAAGGGACAGTGGAGGAGGATTGATTTTCTCCTGAGTGATGCTAGCCTATTAAGAAGTGGGCACTCTTTGAAATTTTGGTAATAGTAATTGAAAGCTTAACATTTTTTTCTGAGCTTATTTCATACTATATAGTATTTCCAGGAGCAGAGAAAGCCATATGAAAATAAAAGGCATTGAACAATTTTTAAAATGTATTCATTCGATCAAAATATTATTAAGGACTTATTTGTATCAGGCACTTTGCTGGATTGAAGGTGGATAATTTATTCTCAAAGAGCTAACCGTCTCTTCACTAAATATAACAACGCTATAGAATGAGATTTTTTAAAAAAACAGCATTGCAAGTATGTAGAGAATATTATGGGAGCCCAGAGAAGCAGCACATGCCATGCCACAGACTGGCGTAGGAAGGATTCCTGGAGGAGGGCGTTCCTGAGCCTGCCTCAAAATAGGCAGAAGAATCAGTGTTACCAAGAGGGAAGGGATCAGGAGACCACTAGAGGGGACAAGATGAGCAAAATGTGTGCAGTTAAGACACTGCACAGTTTATTTGGGAGAACTGGTGAAAACCTGTTGTGTCTCGGAGAGAAAAGGAGATGGTGGTAGATAAGGCTAAAAAGGTGGGCAGAGAAGCAATTAGATATCAGCTCCTGTGCCAGGGAAAGAGTTTGGATTTTATCTTTTAGAGTTTAAAGAGATTCTTAACTTTTCTGGGTCATAAACCCATTTGAGAATGTGATAAAAACTGTCAACCTTCTCTCCATAAAAATGTACCTTTATAAACGCACTTAAAATTTTAAATATTATCTGAGGAGTTTATAGAAGCCCTGAGCCTGTCTATCCATGGACTTCCCCTTGGGAACCAGCTATTTCAGACAAATTCTTACGTACCTCATTGTCCTATAAGTTAGCATGGAGAGGGTTTAGTGATATTCATAGATAGGAGCTTCACATTTAGTTATCAATAACAATTATCAAACGTGGGGAGCAGCCAGGCTCTTCATTCATAATGAAAATAGTGATCATGGCTAATGCTGACAGAGTCTCACCATGTGTCCAGCGCCATGCTGAGTGATTATGTATATTAACTTGTTTGTTTTTGTTTTTTGTTAACTTGTATAACAAGCTCACAACAATTCTGTAAAGTAGCTATTCTTATTTTTCCAATATCTCAGGTGAAAAAACATAAGCACAAGGTATTATTTACAGCTAGCAAGGTACAGAGATGGCATATACCCAGCATTCTGGTCACACAGGCACTGTTTCATGCCCTTAATTGCTACATTATCCTCTCCCTGAGAAAAACAAATTGAAGCAGTTTCTAATGACAAGAGCCTAGACCAATTGGCCATAGATACAACTCAGTATGCAGATCTTACGTTGTGTTCATTGAACTTACATCTTAGATGTACAGATTGCTGCCCTTGAAAGCACTAGTTCATTGTGGCTACATTCATGACAGAACTTTGAATAGGTTAAATGTGGCTTTAAGATTATTAGCAGCAACACTTAATGCTGCATGTCATCCAGGTTGTCTTAAAGAATTTTATTTCTAAAGCTAAATAGTGTATAATTTTTAAAAAATTATCCTTAACATACACTTCATTTAAAACAATTTATGAAACCAACTCTAACTAGAACTTAGCATAAAATTTGATGTGCAACATTAATAAATCGATGCTCAAAATTTCATTCTCTGTTCCTTTTATCTACAATGCTTTTTACTTGGAAATGTGCATTTATACCCCAAAAAAGAAGCTACATGAACATCTCAATAGATGTAGAAAAAGCATTTAACAAAATTCAGCATCTGTTCATGTTAAAAACTCTTAAAAAATAAGTATAGAAGTGAAAAACAAGTTTATTGCAACAGGGCTCTTCTAGAAAGGAACTAGACACAAAGAAAGGGAAGCATTCATAACTGAAATGGAACTAGGAGACTGTATATCATATTTAATTAGAGCATAGATATTTCATAAGCGAGTGTATGAAGAAGCAACATGGCGTCACAATCCGGTGGTTTGTTAGGGCTGGAAATTTTAAATTACTTCATACAAGTTTAGGTGTTCTGGGGCTTCTGACTCTGAGTGGGAAGTTTGAGGCTTGACTGTGGTGGTATACTGACTGCCAATCCTGAGGAACTCTGTCAGTCTCAGTGTCTTCATTTGTAAGACTGAAATGATTCACATTAATTTCATGAAAATTAAAATGTTTAGGGCCATGCATATAAAATTACTATTGTGTTTTGCTTTTGTTTGGTTTCTTTACTTTGGGCTTCTAGTGGAAATAGTTGCATTAATCATGCTCCTTATTTCATGGCACGTTATCATCACTGATCACTTTGTTTCATTGTTTGGTTTGGATTTGCTGATTATTTTTTCTGTCGTTCTCTAGATTTCCTTTACATTACATAGGAAACCATCGTAATATATCATTTTATCTTTTTGTTTGTATGTGATTTGCAAAATATATTTTGTTTTTATGACTTTTTAAAGATATTTTTATACATACCAAACCATTCTACTATAAAGACACATGCACATGTATGTTTATTGCGGCACTGTTCACAATAGCAAAGACTTGGAAACAACCCAAATGCTCATCAATGACAGACTGGATCAAGAAAATGTGGCACATATACACCATGGAATACTATGCAGCCATAAAAAAGGATGAGTTCATGTCCTTTGCAAGGACGTGGATGACGCTGGAAACCATCATTCTCAGCAAACTAACACAAGAACAGAAAACAAAACACCGCATGTTCTCACTCCTAAGTGGGAGTTGAACAATGAGAACACATGGACACAGAGAGGGGAACATCACACACTGGGGCTTGTCAGGGGGTGGGGCGCTAGGAGTGGGAGAGCATTAGGAGAAATACCTAATGTAGATGACGGGTTGATGGGTGCCCCAAACCACCATGGCACATGTATACCTATGTAGCAAACCTGCACATGTATCCTATAACTTAAAGTATAATTTAAAAACCGTAACTACAGTGCCATTATTACACCTAAATAAAGTTAAAAATCATTACTTAATATGGTAAAATGTAGTGTTTATGTTTTCTCCATTGTTTGTTATGTTTTCTCCATAGTTTGAAAACATAGTTTATTATGTTTTCTCCATAGTTTGTTATTTGAATAGGGATCCAAACAACATCCACACGTTGCAATTGGCTATTTCTTTAAAATCCGTTTTAATCTATAAGTCTCTCTGTCTCCATTTTTTCTTCTTCTCCTTCTTTGTCTTATTCTTCTTTTTCTCCTTTAACTTTTTTTTTGAAAAAACATTGTCATTTGTTCTATGGAGTTTTCCAAAATCTGAACTGATTTTATGGCACTATGTCACTTAATAATTTCTGTTTCCTCTGTATCTGTGTAATTAATTCTAAAGCTGTAATCAGAACAGTTAAAAAATGTCTGTGGGGGAAGTTCTGATATAGGTGGTGATATGGTTTGGCTCTGTGTCCCCACCATTCAATCTCACCTTGAATTGAAATAATCCCATGTCTCGAGGGTGGGACCAGGTGGATATAATTGAATCATGGGGGCAGTTAATGCTGTTCTCCTAATAGTGAGTGAGTTTTTACAAGATCTGATAGTTTTATAAGTGGCTTTTTCTCCTTTGCGTGGCACTTCTCCTTCTTGCCACCATGTGAAGGATGTTTGCTTCCACTTCCACCATGATTGTAAGTTTTCTGAGGCCTAACTGGCCATGTGGAACTGTGAGTCAACTAAACCTGTTTCCTTTATAAATTACCCAGTCTCGGACGGTTCTTTATAGCAGCATGAGAATGGACTAACATGATAAATTGGTCCCAGGAGTGGGGCGCTGCTGTAAAGATACCTGAAAATGTGGAAGCAACTTTAGAACTGGGTAATAGGCAGAGGTTGGAACAGTTTGGAGGGCTCAGGAGAAGACAGGAAAATGTGGGAAAGTTTGGAGCTCCCTAGAGACTTATTGGATGGCGTTGACCAAAATGCTGATAATGATATGGACCATGAAATCCAGGCTGCGGTGGTCTCAGATGGAGATGAAGAACTTGTAGGCAGATATAAGAATTGTTAACGTGTACCCCTGTAGGAAACAACTTTATTAGCTCGAGTGCAGTAGTTATGTGCAGGTCCTTTTGCCTTTACTTTTACGGATTCTATTCATTTCCAAAGTTAGGTCAGTACCTTTCTTACCCCATACAATGAGGTTGTTCCATATATTTGTAATACAATTAGATTTTCTTGTCACAGTCTACATTCTTTGCGGAGATCCTCCAACTTTCTAAATGATTTTTTAAAATTTGAATACAATAACGTTCACTCTGTGTTGTGTAAAGCCCTATAGGTTTTGATAAATAAGAATCCTATAATATCATGTAGCCACCAAATACCATGAAGTATAGTTTCAAGACCCTAAAAATCCCTCGAGCTTTGCATATTCATTGCTCCCCACTTTTCCCATACACCAGGGAGACTGATCGTTTTAGTCTTCTTATAGTTTTTCTTTATCCAGAATGTTATATAATTGAAATAATACAGTATGTAGTCTTTTTAGAATAGCTTGTTTTGTTTAGTGATGTAAATTTAAGCTTCATTCATGTCTTCATGTCTTTTCTGACGATCTTTTTTTACTTAGCATTATATTTTTAAGATCTATCTATGTTGTTATGTCTGCATTGATTCTTTTCCTTTTAATAGCACTATGTGATGGACAACTAGTACATTTGCCCATCCACTCTCTGATGGATAGCACATTGCTTCAAAATCTTAGTGTCCCAACCCAACTCAGCTCTACTACCACAAATAATGTAATAAACAGACTCACATATATGCCCTTAAGGACCTGTGTATTTCTTTGGGATATATACCTAGGAAGGAAATTGTTAGAACATAAGACATGTCCTTGTTTTATTTGACTAGTGTCAGATTGCTATCTGGAATGGTCTTAGCAGGCCAGCAACATGGTTTTTTTTTTTTTTAATTTGTGTTTTAGAATTAGCCCCATTTCCCCACCAACATTTCATATTATCAAAATTTCTGGATATAAGTATATAGGAATCATGTGGTAACTCACTGTATTTATTTAAATTTCTATAATTACTAATGAGTCTGAACACCTCTTCCTGTGGGTACTAGATTTTACCCATATTTATATGTAGATGATGTATTTTTTAAACTGATTTGTAGTTGTTCCTTGTATATTTTAAATATGAATATCATGTCAGTTTTTAACATTACAGAATACCTTTTCTAACACCATCATCGGTCTGTTAGCTTTGTTCATGATGCCCTTTGTTGAACAGATTTATCAGTTTAATCTTTGGCTTGTTGGATGACGGTACGATTTACAAATATTCTGAAAAATGAGAGAGAAATAGGGTAGGCTAGAGTGGGGAACAGGAGTTTCTGTTTGGCTGTATTAGGTTAGAGATGCATTGAACCTTCAGGTAGAATTCTTAAGCAAGTAGTCAGACATGTGAATCTGGCATAAAGATGAGGTTTTGTTAGTATCAACCTTTAAAATTGTTTTTTTGTTTCTTGAAGGTTTTCTTCTTTTTTTTAAACTGGACTTTGTTGTTTAAAGCTATTGACAAAATTTCTACTTAATAAATTGGAGCTGGGAGCAGTGGCTCATGCCTGTAATACCAGCACTTTGGGAGGCCGAGGGGGGCAGATCAACTGAGGTCAGGAGTTTGAGACCAGCCTGGCCAACATGGTGAAACCCCATCTCTACAATAAATACAAAAATTAGCTGGGCATGGTGGCATGCACCTGTATTCCTAGCTACTCAGGAGGCTGAGGCAGGAGAATTGCTTGAACCCAGGAGGCAGAGGTTGCAGTGAGCCGAAATCGCGCCACTGTACTCTAGTCTGGGCAACAGAGTGAGACTCCATCTCAAAAAACAAAAAAAAAAAAAAGGAAAAGAAAAAGAAAAGAAATTGCAGAAGGCACTTTGAATTGCATCATAGTGGATTTTTTTATTTTGCTACATATATAATTTTTATCATATTTTTTATCCCAAATATTTAATCAATATATAGTCACGGTTCCCAAAGAAATGTGCAATTCCAACCCTATGTGTCCTCTTCCCCTCTGGCCCCCTTAGCTTGTTTCAAGGGTTCTCTGGATATATTTCATAGAACATTTTACTGTTCCCTTTGTAAATGGTGATATTTCTCCATTTTACATTTAGATTCTAAGAAACAGTTCAAGGTGACTCTCATATTTAAATTGAATATGGAAATAGATATTTTTGATGCAAATTTATAATATGTTCATGGGATTAAGTTATCAAGCATTGAATATTATATTTTCAAGACCATCTTCCTTGAGAAGAAAATGTTTATAGACCTGTAGGTGCGTATCCTTTTTTACATGGTAAAAAATACTTCAGAATTATTGTTAATAAAAATAATACTTTAATTGATGAGGTTTTTTTCAATAGAAATAGGACACTTTCATACAATTCTTGTCAGGTCTTTGATGTTAGAAGTTGATCTTTGACAACTGGGCTTGAAAACAACAGAAAAAATATTTGAATCAAACATTAATAGTAATATACTTTTTTTTAAGGTTCACAAAGATAATTAATTTTAGATTCCTCTCACACTATATTTCTTTTTTACAGGATTTACTTTCCGTTTTCATATAAAAAATTATTCATATTATACACAATTGTATATCTGCAATTTGACTTTTTATAAATTGTAACCAATTCATTATCACATGTATGTACTTTTGGTTGTTGTAAATAATCCTAAAATCCTAATTAGGATATAAAATTATTAATACATATTTACAATTTATATCCTAAACTATATTTATAGTTTGATTTTTATTATGTAGGAAGAAAGTATATTGTCTTAGCTATTTAAGTTTGTAGAGGTAACATTGTCTCCAAAAGGGGATGTGACCATCCTAGAAAAGCTAAAATAAAGAAAATCTTCCTTTTAGGTACAGAGAAAGAAAAAAACAACAACAAAACAAAAATGCCTTGTATTGCTTTGCTGAGGACTCATAAAAATGACTGGTGGTGCTTTCAGGCATCATTCATCAGGTTTACATTTTAGAGAAAGAAAAAATCTCATTATCCACTCCGTACTCATTTAACTTTTAAGTGCTTAGAAGATTTGTCATAACCTAGACTCAAGCTCTGAAATGGTAAATCTTGACACATCTCAATTTTAGCAACTCATCTTAGCAGTGCTGAAACGCTGAGTGCTCATAGGTACAGGAGCTTTATATTCTATTTTGCCCTAATTCTTTCACATTTTTTATACATCACTCCTAACTTTATAATGTTGTTAGCTTTTACACCTTCCTTTATTTTAAAACTGGATTAGTCTAAAAGTTTCCTATTCAGTAAGAAGTACCAAATGAACTATTGAGCACGATGCATAAGCATTAACACATTTAATCGTGGAGGGCAAGTGAAGAGTACAATTCAAATGGGTCAAGAGAACTAGATTTCTATGAGGTCATTAAGCATTCTATTTACCTTAATTTTGTGCTCTTATGACACTGCCCTTTGCCATACCATGCAGACTTCTTATGCAGCAGAAACTGTAGAAGTTTAGGCTAGGGGAGAAGGGACTGAGAACCTATATGTTTTTGTTCATTAGTATCTGAAAAGTGATGAGTTAAAATGTGTGGCTACTTATCTTAAAAGTGTATATATATATATATATCATACATATCATTCTTTTACTTGCAAAAGTACATTATTTATGATAACATTTAGATACTAACTTTCCTCATTTGAGGAAGTAGTAGTAAAATGTGTGGCTACTTATCTTAAAAGTGTATATATATTATATATATATATGTCATACATATCATTCTTTTACTTGCAAAAGTACATTATTTATGATAACGTTTGGATACTAACTTTCCTCGTTTGAGGAAGTAGCAGCACTCTTTCCCTTCAGAATACTTTTTTTTATAACTTGCTTAAATTGAATGAGGTCATTTATTAATACTCAAAGCTAATAAGGCATCATCCTGTAACTTTCAGAAGACGAATATAAGTAGAAACTATTTAATAGGGGAAAAACTGCCTGGTTTTTAAAACTTTCCTTTTATACTTTGTAATGTCAGATTTTTTTTCTTAACAAAAAGAAAGTTGGATAAGACAACTCCTTCAAAATGAATCCTAATTTATCTCTATTGGATGCATGTGCAAACCTAGCTCCTGTTCCACCAGTGTCCAAAGGTTATAAAAAATTGAACAGCTAATTTTTAAGTAGTATTTAAAATTCATTGAGAATGTAAAATGACCACAAAATTATATTTTTCCGATAACTTCTTATATCCACTGTGATGTCCAACTTAGAGTCAGAATGTAAGGGTTCACATTTTAATTTCTACTTGGACAGTATGCCCAAACTCTGTACTGTGAATGTATGTCATTTATGGAGATGCTAGGATGTAAAAGCATTCAAATTACGGTGCTTTTAAGACAAACAGCAATTTGGTATTATTGGTTATTCTTTCTCCTACACTAGGCACTATACCCATTTATTTGGTCTATGTTTTCACAACAGCCTTGAGATTTTCGGAAAGTGACCTAACAATCCTGTATAGACTGGTCTTAGGATGGGGACCAAGGCTGAACCTGGGTAATATGGACAGAGGTGAATTTGTAGTAATGTGTTTCATGTAAAAGCAATGCATACAAGTTTTGACCCATCTTCTGCTTTTTGTTTTTTTTCTATTGGCTTGTCTGGCAAAATTAGAGAATAATTAAAGGTGAAAAACAAAGCCTCCTTCCTCATACAGCATACCTGTTTAAAAATGGAAGACTATAAAACTAATTTCACTCATCATAACAAGAAATATATCTATGATAGTAATTGAAATAGTGTGCAGCTTGATCTCTCATTAATACTTTGGTAATTTATAAGAAAATAACAGTATCAAGAAAATGTGAGGTCCATATTATCTTATGTTTTTTCACTGCTTCCCCTCCCAAAAACATACCATATTAGAAGTCAAATTATAATCAGAGGGCTGATGGTCAAGAAGGAATTAGCGTGATAGGAGTGAGAGGAAACCGATGTATGATAGTATCAGATTTTAGGAAAATTGATGTGCTCATTCTCATGCTGGGGATATTCCTCCCAGTGGGATGGGAATGCTTGAAGATGAGAGTCTTCTGTCTACTCCCCTTTTTATCCTCCTCCACATGAGGGTTGATTTTGCTGATGTGGCTAAAATACTTGAAGTCAGAGGCACCACGAAGTCTAGTTCTCTACCCAAGGTTACATTAATAGTTAGAGACAAGATGTGGCTGGATGGCAAATGCCTTTCAAGGTATGTTTATAACCAGGGAATCCTAGAATTATTCTGCCCATTTCAGGTCACATTTTCCTTTCAGGCATGTACAATATGAAAATCTTAATTCAGCAATGAGGCCATTGGCCTTGTTTTAACCTGCACATTGTAAGAATATGGGTTATATAAAGCGGCAGAGGAATGATCGTACCTGGACTGCTAAAATCTCCGTATTCAGAGGGTAACTTCACAAAATTTGGCAAAAATAATTGAAGAGCAGTGGATGACATATTTAATTATCTCTTTCTCTCAATGAATTTGTTGATGAGTTTCAGTCTATTTCACTCTGGGGGGTAGAACTACCAAATAAGACATTTTGATTAAAATATAAAAAATAAAATTCAACAAGTCTGTAAATGACTATTTCAGTGTCTCTAGCAATGTGTAAAGGAGCAGGACTGTATTTCTCAATGAAGGTAACTTTTTAGTATCAAAGTTAGAATTTGACTGTTTTGAGATTCTGCATTGAGATGTGAAGTTATCTGTTAATTATTTTACTTGAAAGTGTATTTTAAAAGGAAGATGAGCTGTGTCCCCACCCAAACCTCAACTTGAATTGTGTCTCCCAGAATTCCCACATGAGGGGTAATTGAATCATGGGGACCGGTCTTTCTAGTGCTATTCTCGTGATAATGAATAAATCTCACGAGATCTGATGAGTTTCTCACGGGTTTCCACTTTTGCTTCTTCCTCATTTTCTCTTGCCACTGCCATGTAAGAAGTGCCTTTTGCCTCCTACCATGATTCTGAGGCCTCCCCAGCCATGTGGAACTGTAAGTCCAATTAAACCTCTTTTTTTCCCCAGTCTTGGGTATGTCTTCATCAGCAGCATGAAAATGGACTAATACAGAGGAAATATACCTTTACCTGTGTTTCTTACTTGGAGGAAAGTGTCAGTCATTTTCAAAATTTTGAATTATTTAAAATTAGGTCAGTGATGTCACAGTAAGTTAACTTATATTGAGTAAAGTTGATTTTCAATGAGAAACAGTTATGGTGTTAGGTGACAAAAAAGATTTCTACACCAAAACAAACCCAACCATATTCTGGCCTAAAACTTACAAATAAATACTTCTTGGAAATTTAAGCCAACCATTTTATGTTATGGAAAAATCTTTTGACCTTCTCAGTAAGATTTAACAAAAGTTTTTTTTTTGTTTGTTTTTAATGACAGAGTACAGGATTAGTATAGGTTAATTAATTTGTTAATTTATTGTTTGTTTTATTTATTTATTTTTTGAGATGTAGTTTCACTTTTGTTTTTCAGGCTGGAGTGCAGTGGTGCCATCTCGGCTCACTGCAACCTCCCCCTCCCCAGTTCAAGCAATTCTCCTGCCTCAGCCTGCCGAGTAACTGGGATTACAGATGCTCCCCACCATGCCTAGCTAATTTTTGTACTTTTAGTAGAGACGGGGCTCACCATGTTGGCCAGGCTGGTCTTGAACTCCTGACCTCAAGTGATCCGCCTGCCTTGGCCTCCCAAAATTCTGGGATTACAGGCGTGAGCCACTGCGCCTGACCAGTATAGATTAATTTATAATTTATGGTAACAGGTTTGTAAGTTTGTTTATCAAGAAGTAATGGCTAGCTCTGAGCTTGTTGTCGCAACACTCTTGTACTAACGGAGGCCCATTATTTCAGGGTTCTTCTTGTTTCTAACACTGACACATAGTCTCTGTCTTTACTTACTTATTTCTTAATTTCTCAGTTATATTTTGAGCTACTCTAAGGATTGAGACTAATCATGTTCTGTTTTCTGTATTCCTAATCCTTGAATATCTTTCTAAATCCTTATTTACTTGTATTCAAACTTTTACAGTTCCATACCAAACATTCCCTTTTATAGAATATGACATTAACTTTGGGAAAAAAAGGCCAGACGCGGAGGCTCATGCCTGTAATCCTAACACTTTTGGAGGCCAAGGCGGGCGGATCACCTAAGGTCAGGAGTTCGAGACCAGCCTGGCCAGGAGTTCAAGACCAGCCTGGCCAACATGGTGAAACCGCCATCTCTATGAAAAATACAAAAATTAGCCAAGTGTGGTGGTGGGCGCCTGTAATCCCAGCTACTCTAGAGGCTGAGGCAGGAGAATCACTTGAACCCGGGACATGGAGGTTGCAGGGAGCTGAGATCGTGCCACTGTACTCCACCCTGGGGGACAGAGCCAGACTCCATCTCAAAAAAAAAAAGGAAAAATGTACTCCTCTTTTTAGAATAAACTAATAATATTGGAGAGAACAAAGCTACTAAATATATTAATACTTCATGGCAACATGAAACCATTACCTGCATGGTTACAAGTCAAATGCATGGAATGAAAGCAAAGTTTTTCATCAGTCAGTGGTTGTGACTCTTACACTAGCTTTCAACTCTTTCCTGTTAACCCTTTGTTGTAATCCCCTATTCTCTGTTTGCATATTTTTAATGCCTCCCTTTTTGCTCGTTCAAATTCCAAAGAAGAATATCTTGTGTTTACATGACAACTCTATGCTGTTGAACAGCTCAGTGGGATACTTTTGTCCCCACAGCCATTTAGGCACCTAAAGTGTTTTAGGCTCTATTATTATCAACATAGTTTCCAGAGTTAGCCAGGGTTCATGTCTATTTCACACAGTTAAAAAAAAAAAAAAAAGGAGAAATGAAGGCATGCACATGGAAGGCTGAGAAGCAGTGTGCATCGCACCTCGCATTGGCTACTACGGGCCACTGCTGGGGAGTCTAGGATGTACCCTAGCCTCCTTTGCCACGAAGCTGTATTAATATTCTCTAGCAGATACCACATTTGGCAGAGTAACTACAACTGGGGCTACTACTTGGTTGAGTTTGTAGTACTTCGTCATTCTCTCACATCTTTCTGATTTTTGTTGCTGACCAGAGTAAAGCATTAAATGAGGATGTGAGGGAGTCACTCTTTAAGAGTGACTCTGATCTCTTTCTCTCCTGGATTCCATGTTATCTTTAAATTATCTTCTTAATGAGGAGGAGAGAGAGGAGTGACAGTTTCAGATGCTTCTACCTGGCCTTCCTCACTATAGTAGCTTTTATCCCACAGGCCAAGGAACCAGTGTGGAAATTCTGCCAACTATTGAGTATGTTCATTCTAACCATATAGTCAAGCACCAGATAGTTCATGGACTGAGTGGGCTCACTGTGAGCCAGACTAGGTCACGGACTCCGTTTATTACTCTCCCTACCCCATCTACCCCCACTTTGACAGTGGGCCACAATGATGCTTCAGGTCCCTGGGTCTTAATATCAACTCAGGTTCTTATTCAGCAGTGATGGTTCATCTCCATGCAATGTATGGATGTCCTCCTTTGCCCAGTGGTTACCCCAGAGGTTCCCATGGTCACCTCAGTAAACACTTGTGGATCTCTTTAGGGAAGGACTAGGGAATCATCAGTTATATAAATGAGTGGACAGAGTCCTTCCTCCTGAGAACTCATCCTCTCTTTCAGTTTATACTGAAATATATACCATTGTTTATACTTCTGAGAACTGGCTTATGGCCAGAAATGGGGCAAAAGGTCATGAATTTATTAACTGATTTATTTTAATCCTATAAATGAAGCAATATTTCTGTTGCAATCCATTTATCTTGTCTCCTGGAACTTTGTGTCCTAGTAACCATCTCCAAAGTTTTTTGCGGTTAAGGTGCCCCTGGCTGTAACTAGTCTTGTCACTAGTTCTGATAATTGAGCCTACCCTGCTTTTGACAGTTAGTGGCCATCATCTGGTCTGTTATGGTAGGATCCTGTCATCTCAGTTGCTCTCCTGGAGCCCAGTTCTGTGTAGCATCTTCTACCATTTGCATCTTTTCTTACCAGCCTTAGTCTATAGAGGACAGCTTCCACAGGACTTCTTTTGGATGCTGGTATCCCTTTCACTAGCTCATTCCTTCTCACTTTTGTCCTCCAGCTTCTCATAGAACAGAGTTAACTGATGGACTTTGGCTTCGGGTGGCATATCTACTCTAGCGTGCTCACTTCTCTGAGCCTTTGGATCCCTTCCATCCTTCGCCATTTGCCATTGAAATTCTAGAAATTTAAATTTCATTTACAGTAAACCATCACTTCTTCCCAACTTTCCAGAGCCAACTGGAGTTTTATTACCACTGTCTACTAGAGTCCTCTGTAGGGTGGTACATTCTCTGTCATGCCAAAGTGCTTCATTATCCATAAACTAGCCCTTATCTTACCTTAGGTTTCACCCTGTTTGATCCAGCATCTTTGGGGACCAGTCCTTAGCTCTATTGGAATGTAGTCCCTTCTTCCCTCAGCAGTGCCAGCCCTTTCATGGCTGGGTTATGTTGGACCTTCACCTTTGTTATTGAACTGGTGGCCAGGAGGGGATAAGAGGGGTAAATCTGGAAGGGTGACATGTTCCCTTATAAGGCAGAGGTTCTAAATAATCTCAAGGAGAAGGGGAGTGCTAGCTGTTAACTGGAAAGAAAGAGCCACTTCTGAAATCTGTAGATTTCAGATGAATCAAGCAATGCAAAGCTTTTTTTTATGTATTTATTTATTTTTATTATACTTTAAGTTTTAGGGTACATGTGCACAATGTGCAGGTTTGTTACATATGTATACATGTGCCATGTTGTGTGCTGTACCCATTAACTCATCATTTAGCATTAGGTGTATCTCCTAATGCTATCCCTCCCCCCTCCCCCCACCCCACAACAGTCCCCGGTGTGTGACATTCCCTTTCCTGTGTCCATGTGTTCTCATTGTGTATATACCCAAAAGATTATAAATCATGCTTCTATAAAGACACATGCACACGTATGTTTATTGCGGCACTGTTCACAATAGCAAAGACTTGGAACCAACCAAAATGTTCAACAATGATAGACTGGATTAAGAAAATGTGGCACATTTACACCGTGGAATACTATGCAGCCATAAAAAATGATGAGTTCATGTCCTTTGTAGGGACATGGATGAAGCTGGAAACCATCATTCTCTGCAAAGTTTTTTGAGTTCTTGAACTCAGATTTTCCTATTCTGTTTTTCTGGGTCCTACTCCTTCCCAGTTAGTTCCCTGACCTCGATGTAGCAGACTTGGGAAAAAGAATATGCTGAGAATTCAACCTTCAAGGGAGCTCTGCTACCTATAATGAAGTCCTAGACCTAATCCTCAGCTTTTGATACCCTGCAGGAGATGGGTTCCTTTACAGACTTCCAAGGACGTTCACTGGATTTAGTGCCATTCATACCTACTCATTGGAGTTCTCTATCATGTGTGCCTTACAACAGCACATGTATAGTGCTATACAATGAACTTTCATTCATATCGCATGTTGTGACAACTGCTGCCTTTTGAATTGATGCAAGTGCTTGTTCTCATATTAAAACCATCTCAGTTATTGGCCATGACAAATATTACCTCAATTTTGAAAATTAAGGAATTGAGACACAGAGAGATTAATTTAACTGTCCAAAGTCACACAGCCAATAAGTAGCAGAATAGAACTTGTTCCCAGGTAGCCAAATGCCAGAGTCTATGCTGATTCTCACTACAATGATGCTGATTCTCTTGGTGCTGTTTGATGCCAACCAAGTATGAATTGAAACTTAAATATAGCAACTGAAATCAAATGCCAGTATTTTATGATAAAACAGACATCTGGATGAACCTTAATATGATTATATTAATTTTATTGAGATAAACAGCTAAATGAAAAAGCAGCATTTCATTATTTTTATAAAGGGTGTATTGATAACTCGTGAGTTGAAAACATGGCAGCAGATTAAAGATTCCTGTTTTTCACATTGTATGGCTTTCAGACTGTTCACCAGGTGTATAAGCACATTTCAGAAGAAATGTCCAGCTACCGTGACTGAGCTGCTAAATGCCAAATATTTTTAAATAATGTTACTAATTATTACAATAAAGAGTTCCCATGACCTACTTCTTAATTGGCCCTGCAACAATTACTGATATCTCATAGAGAAAAAAACACAAGATTTTTTCCTGTCTTACTCTATTTGTCCTTAATTTTACTTTTTTTTCTAAATTGTTAGTTGCCTATGCATCTGTGTGACTATTTTCACTTGCCGTTGTGTCATCAGCTGGTATTATAGTGAGCCAAAATTATCCACATCTTCTTAAGTATGGAACAGCTACATCGTCATAGAACTTATAGTGATGGACAGTCACTAAGTTTGCGATTGCGTTAAATTTGAATTTGGAGAACGAAAGAAGAGAGGTTATTAAAATGCCAGGGACACACAAGAGCCGGACCTTTTTTAAAAAAAAAATCTCAAAGGCAGTTTCTTATAGATGACTTTAGAAATTAAGCCCTAAAAACATCCTTGGTGCACTGGTCTTTCTAAGTACTGGCATTCAGCAATGAAAATGCAGTGCTTTTCTTGTCCATGTCTAGAGGAAAAAAGCACTATCAGTTATTTAGAATCTGATTTATACCTTAAGAGAGTGGCTGCCACTCTCTGTGATTTCAGGGAAGTCGGGTATCAAGGAGCAATTTTCAAAGAATTGAAAGCCGATGCAGGGTTATGAATAAACTCTGAGAGGTTTGACCTTCCCTGTCAAACGATAAGGCCATAAATATGTTGGTAATTCTGCTTTGTTGTGAGCACCTGTTCTTTTTCATCATTGTGGAGTTTCTAGGATACCAAAAATTGATAACTGTAAAACTAAAATATTTTATTGTATTAAAAATACTAGAAAAGTAGACAATACAGGGTAGAGAACAGTTTTTTGCATGTTCCTTTTGAAATGTGTCTGGAGTTGGACCATCCAATTTTGAAAACTTTACAAGGTCCAATCAAATTCAGTATAACAGTATGGTCATATTTTACCATTTATTTGAATGAAGACAGCATAAGTGGTTTTTGGACAGGAACGGAGATAGTTAATGTATAATATTTTTAATGCTTTTTTCCCCAGTATGCCAAATTCATTATGACATGTGGTTCATTCTTGTTCAGATGGAGGCTTTGTCAGCAATCACATACAGTACAGTGTGTTTGAGCATTTTCAGTGCTGTTAAGCGTAAAGTGTTCTGTTTTAATGATTATGTTTCCATCTTCATTAAATAACTGTTGAGGAACCTTTATTCTCTGACTTCACTATTACCTTTCTCAGACTGATAGCCCAGGAGAAAACAAAGATAAGCAGGGGAAAAAAAACAGTCCAGATAACTCCCAGAGAAGAGGAGGGAAAATTGGTCATTTTCTTTTATTTTAGAAACAAAAATAAATAAATAAAACTTCTTATTTTTTACAATTTTAAGAGACCCTTAAACTCTTTTGAACAAACACATAAAAAAACACCAAAAATGATTTTTCTGTTTTATGGTGGCCTAAAAAAGCAGAAAGAGCACAAGGAATGACAAGGAAAAAAGGCAGTGGGCATACAAAGATAAAATAGTGCAGACAAAGCCATCTGGAGAGGGACAGCAAGAGATTGAGAGTGTGTTAGTTATCCATTGCTGTGTAACAAATTGCCCGAAAACTTGGTGGCTTAACACAACAGTAAACATTTATTATCTTTCAAAGCTTCTCTGTGGGTCAGGAATTTGGTCTTAGCTGGACGTTCCAAGCTTAGGGTCTTGTATAGCTTGGTTGTCCTGGTGTCAGGCATCAGATTCCATGTGGCTGACAAGTTGGTACCAGCTGGTGGCAGCGATGGGTGTGAGGTTGGATTCCTCTCAATACGGACCTCTCTAAAGGGCTGCTTGAGTGTCCTCATGACATAAGGATTGGCTTCCCCCAGAGCAAGTAATCTTCAATAGCAAGCAAGAGGGCAGCTGTATTTTTTTTTTAATGATCTAGCTTCAGAAGTTACAATACACCCGCACTTCTGCAGTGTCCTGTTGGTCATACAGGTTAGCTTATTCGGTGCAGGGAATGCAAGGGCACAAATACCAGGAGGCAAGGTTCACTGGGCGCTGTTTTGGAGCTTGATTGCCACAGAGAAATAGGGAAGAGAGTGGTAGACAAACACAGACACACAGACCTTTATGAACAGGAGAGGGGAGAAGACTGGGTAGTTGAGTCAAGTCCAGGGTGAGGGTGATCATGTTCTCCTGAAGTGCGCTTGGTTTGTGACAAGTGTAAAGGCCGCTTAATATCAGTTGTTAATTCTAACCCAACTTGTCACATCTAGTATGCTTAATTGTACTCTCATTACAATAATCTTTCTAGCATCAAAATGGAAAGCTTAGTTGTATTAAGGCATATTTTTCTCAGAAATATTACCACAATTTTACCTTAAAGGATAAAAATCTATATATTTCCCTTCCAACACACACACACACACACACACACACACACACACCCCAGTATCAGTGCTTTTACATTTCTCATGTCAAAGTATCTGATATAGAAGAGGTATCAAAATAAGACCACTATAACAATGAAGATTGTAATCTACATAACTTGAAAGGAGTGTTTATTCTGACATTTTTGCCCAAACACAGTAGGTTGTAGGTTATGAAGTACTTCTCAAGTTGCTTTCAGAAGACAACTGTATCCCAACATTCAAGATCCCCAAAATGAGAGGCAGGTACACTGACTTTCTAAAAGTAAAAGTAATTAATTGTGTTACCTGTGATTTAATCCGTTTGTTTTCTAAACATAATGATAGCAGATGTTTTTGGAGCATTTACTCTTTGGCAGGCACTATTCTAAGGGCTTTGCATTTCAAGCCATTAAGTTCCCAAAGCAACGTTTTTATTCTGGTTTTGTAGTTAAAGAAAATGAAACTTAGACATGATAGAAAGGGATTGAAATCCATGAAGTCTTTCTCTAGCACCTACAATACTCTGTCTGTCTGTCTGTCTGTCTGTCTGTCTTTCTGTCTGTCTGTCTATCCATCCATCCGTCTGAGACAGAGTCTTGCTCTGTCACCCAGGCTGGAGTGCAGTGGCATGATCTCGACTCACTGCAACCTCCGTCTCCTGGGTTCAAGTGATTCTCCTGTCTCAGCCTCCCAAGTAGCTGGAATTACAGGCACCCGCCACCATGCCTGGCTAATTTTTGTATTTTTAGTAGAGACAATGTTTCGCCATGTTGACCAGGCTGGTCCCGAACTCCTGACCTCAGGTGATCCACCCGCCTTGGCCTCCCAAAGTGCTGGGATTACAGGCATGAGCCACCGTGCCTGGCTTACAGTACTCTTAATGGTCACGCTGCATGCAGGGTAGATTAACCCAGGCAAGTTCAAAAGAAGGATTCACTAACAATGACAGTGATTTCCTCAGACTCCATGGACAGAATCTATAGTATCCCCAGACTTCTCAAGAGTTAGAAAAAGAAAATGGAATGCTTTCTGAAACCTGGGAGTGTTTCTCTTGAGGGAAGGGGTCAGCCTGGAGGTAGGTGGGTCTGATTTACTTTTTAAAGGGATCATTTTCAACTGCTGGTTTGGGAACAGACTCTAGTGAGGCAAGAGGAGACCTTATTATGGCAAAGTGCACAGGGTGGTAATGAATGAGACTGTGAGATGTGATAGGAAGTGATAGGAATTCTGAAACTATTTAGAATAGGGTCAATAAGATTTCTTTATGGGTTAGATGTGGGGTATGGGAAAAGAAGAAATCCTTTGGCCTAAGCAGTTGGAAAGAT
This sequence comes from Homo sapiens, assembly GCF_000001405.40. Classification (NCBI taxonomy): domain Eukaryota; kingdom Metazoa; phylum Chordata; class Mammalia; order Primates; family Hominidae; genus Homo; species Homo sapiens. Next base: position 144,558,705 of record NC_000007.14, on the reverse strand, counting down.
GGAGTAGCTCTCAACTGAGATCAAAAGCTGTGAATGGGGTGGGTTTGAGGTAAAAGGTCAAGATATGTAAAATAGGCAATTGGACATGCAAAAGCAGAGTTTGGGAGAGAAGTCTGAGCTAGAGATCCAAATTTGGGATTCCACAACATCTAGATGATTGAGATCACAAAGAGTGTGAATATGGGCATATGAGGGAGGAGGATCTTGCTGAGAGTAAGGAGTTTAGACCCTCCATCATTGAGAGTTTGAAAAGAAGGGGAGGAGCCAGTGAAAGACACATGGGTTAAGAGGAAAATCAAAAGAGTGTGGTATTCTGGAAGCAAAGTAAAGATAATTTATCAAAAAGAGAGAATGATAACCCATTGCAAACACTGCTGATAGGTCAACTCAAATGAAAACTAATAGTTGACCATTGAATTTAGCAACTTGGAGGTCATTGGATTTCTCAGTGAAAGCCAGTTTGGAAGAGTGATGGGGGCAAAAGCTTATTTGGTATGACTCTAAGACAGTATTAGGTCGTTCTTGCACCACTATAAAGAAATCCCTGAGACTGGGTAATTTATAAAAGAAGAGGTTTAATTGGCTCTAGGTTCTGCAGGCTATACAGGAAGCATAGCAGCATCTGTTTCTGGGGAGGCCTCAGGAAGCTTCCAATCATGGCAGAAGGTGAAGGGGGAGCAGGTGCATTACACAGCAAAAGCAGAAGCAAGAGAGTGGGGGGCGGTGCCACACACTTTTAAATGACTAGATCTCACAAGAACTCACTCTCACAAGAATAGCATCAAGGAGATGGTGCTAAACCATTCATGAGAAATCGACCCTCATGATCCAGTCACCTCCCACCAGGCCCCACATCCAATGTTGGAGATTACAATTCAACACGAGATTTGGGCAGGGACAAATATGAAAACTATATCAAAGACAGAATAGAGGAGAAGAACTGGAGACAGTGAATTTAGACAGTGCTTTCTAGGAATCTTAATGTAAATGGGAACAAATAAATGGGGTAGTAAGGTGGTAGATGGCAGATGAAGAAGGTCAAGAGTTGTTATATGGAAACTACTAAGCTTAGTGTTTTCCTTTTCATAATATTTATTGTACTCCTACTGTGTACGTAATACTCCCAGCTCCTCAGGAGGCTGAGGCAGGAGGATCACTTGAGCCCAGGGGTTTGAGGCCAGCCTGATCAACGTAGCCAGAACCCATCTCAAAATTAAAAAAAAAAAAAATCAATAAGATCTGCTTCTCTCCTTGAGGCATTTATCTTCTGGTAAGGGAATTAGACTTGAAATAGTGTGTGTGGAGAGCAGAAGGTATGCAAGTAGCCCAGATTACAAGTTCAACAAAGGATTCTGAGAAGGATAGTGGATTCGGTGGCATCTGAACTGAGTGTTGGGACTTGTACCATCTGAATATTAAGCCTACCTGCTTTTCATTAATATTTTCTAAGATTGGGGGAGAGGAGAAGCAAAATTGTCCTGTTTGTTCTTGCTTTATGATACTGGATTTTTTTTAAAAAAATGACTATTGTATCTCAGTTTTCTTGTTCATAGCCCAGTTATTGATTTTGCTTTAACCATTCTTTGTGAACTTCTGGAAAACCCAATAGACATGTTTTGAAAACATGAATAAGTGTTTCACACAGACTTATCTGCATCCTCCGCATATTCAGTCACCAACACAGAACAGCGAAATGAATGGAGACATAACATAGTAAATAAAGAGAATGGGACATTCTATTGAAGATACATGGATGAGGTCAAAGAAGATAGGCATTCACTGACTTATTCATTCATGTACTGTATGAGTATTTATTATTTAGGATAAACTTTAGGCAAGGTCATGCAGAAGCTTCACTTGGAAAGTGAATATAGGGAACAAAAAGGAAGAATGGGGAAAAAGCAAGCAATGAGATAAATGGGCCAGACTGGTTTTTAAAGTTAGAGCCTAGAAATACATGATGACATAGTAAAAACAAGTGGGCTTTAAAATCACAGCATACTTGGGTTGAGATATCACACCTACTGTTACTAGTTGAGTTATCCTGAATGAGTTCATGACTGCCCTGAGTCTACAATCTTTATTTTAGCAGTAATTCTACCACACAAGGTTGTTACGAGAATTATAGTGCCCAGCAGAATATTTGCACCAAGCAAATACTCAAAAATTGTTTCCTCACTGCTATGGTCTGAATGTTTGTGTCTCCCCTCCCCCGTGCAAAACTCCTATATTGAAATCCTAAACCCCAAGTTTGGAAATGGGGTCTTTAGGAGATGATTAGGTCGTGAGAATGGAACCCTTGAATGGGATGGGTACGCTTCTCAAGGAAGCCTGAGAGAGACTCCTTGCCACTTTCCCCACGTGAGGACAGACTGAGAAGGTGCCATCTGTAAACCAGCAAGCAGGTGCTAACCAGACACTGAATCTGCCAGCATATGGATCTTGGGCTTCCCAGGGTCCAGAAATTTGAGAAGTAAATTTATGTTGTTTATAAGCTACCATTTTGTGGTGTTTTATTCTAGTTGCCCAAATAAAGTAAGATACTCATTTTTCTTTTCTTTTGTTTGTGTGGTTTTTTTTTTGTTTTGTTTTGTTTTGTTTTGTTTTGTTTGAGACGAAGTCTCGCCCTTGTTCCCCAGGCTGGAGGGCAATGGCGCGATCTCGGCTCACTGCAACTTCCGCCTCCCGGGTTCAAGCAATTCTCTTGCCTCAGCCTCCCGAGTAGCTGGGATTACAGGCGCCTGCCACTAAGCCTGGCTAATTTTTTTTTTTTTTTTTTGTATTTTTAATAGAGACAGCGTTTCACCATGTTGGCCAGGCTGGTCGCGAACTCCTGATGTCAGGTGATCTGCCCGCCTCAGCCTCCCACAGTGCTGGGATTACAGGCATGAGCCACCACGCCTGGACAAGATACTCATTTTTCGCCCCGTTTTTTCTTTAACTAGATCTTTCTCATTATTTCTTCCAGGTTACAGAGTTTGATAGTCATGCTGGTTTTCAAAATAAATAAATGCAAATTTGTTGTCTTTCCCTGCACACTTTCTTCAGGAACACTAACAATATCCCATGAGCATTATTAACACGAGTGAAAAAAATCACGAGACACCCAACATTCAGTTAAGCATGCTGAACATCAGCCATACCACATTCTCAGCTAGCAGAAACGCTGCCTGGAGTTTGATAATGAATAGGATCATTCCAGTAGTTCTCCCTACGGTTGAACCATCTCCCCGCTTATCCTCCATTCTCCTGCCAGTCTTAATGACTTGTAGCTTCTGAGATAACATCAAAGCGAAGTGCATGGGGATTGATGAATAGCTCATCTGACAAAAGATGGGGGGTTCAGGTAGAAGGGAATGTTAGTGCTTACAGTAATTGTGGGAAGCTGATTGTCTATTGAAGGGGACTCTCTTTGGTAGCTCTTTTATAGTAACAAAGTTGGAGCAGTTAATAATACAGGAAGAAAGTTGAAATATGTATTGCAGTAACAGCATTCCAATCAACTCTTTTACAATTATAGAAAATGTGGGAAATACGTTAGTATATTTAGAATCTGAATGAAATATTACTTAAATTATTACTATCACTAAAAAAAAGATAACATTGAGTTATCGCAGTATTTGGCTAAATTCATGTTGAGAATTCCAAAAAATAACTTGAAGAATTTCACATTGGGTTTAGTGACCAGATATTAGGCTTCAGAAGGAGTTCTTAGAACTTTTTTTAAAATGATGAACAAAGTAAAAGAGGTATGCTCTTATTTAAAAATTCATTTACTAAAAACTAGAGCTTCTGTATGACAAATTGGAGAAATGACTCTCCTTAAGATATCTTAATGTCGGCTGGGCACCGTCGTTCATGCCTGTAATCCCAGCACTTTCAGAGGCTGAGGTGGGCAGATCACGAGGTCAGGAGTTTGAGACCAGCCTGACCAACATGGTGAAACGCCGTCTCTACTAAAAATAAAAAAATTATCCAGGCGCGGTGCTGGGCGCCTGTAACCCCAGCTACTCAGGAGGCTGGGGCAAGAGAATCGCTTGAACCCGTGGTGAGGGTGGAGGTTACAGTGAGCCAAGATCGCACCACTGCCCTCCAGCGTGGGCGACAGATCGAGACGTTGACTCAAAAAAAAAAAAAAAAAGGAAGGTATCTTAATGTTTCATGGAGGTATAGCATTAAAATGTTTTTCTTTTCCCTTCTTTCTGCTAATATTTTACGTTAGTCTTATGAGGGCTAATCACACTTATTTTTCTTTAAAAATTACTGGAGCAAAGTGGCCAGGTTTTTAAAAAAATAAAAAGCAGAAAGGAAAGAAAGTGTGGGTTCAAATTAAACCTGGAGGAGCTGATAAATGGAGAAAAGTAAATCAACATATATAATATGAGTGCTTGAAATGCTATTCTTGGCACGTTCAACGTGTTATTTCATCCTGAAAATAACTCAGGGAGGTAATATTGTAGTCCGCATTTTACAGAAACACATAAAATTACATTTTAAGTGTATTTCAAGCACTAGTGACAGGGTCTTCATGATTATTGGTGTACAGTTTACTTGTATCCAATTAAGCAAACATTATCTAGATCGGGGTGTCCAATTTTTTGGCTTCCCTGGGCCACATTGCAAGAAGAATAATTGTCTTGGGCCACACATAAAATACACTGACACTAACATAGCTGATGAGCTTTAAAAAAATAGCAAAAATATCTCACAATGTTTTAAGAAACTTTACGAATTTGTGTTGGGTGACATTCAAAGCTGTCCTGGGCTGCATTTAGCCTGTGAGCCGCGGGTTGGGCAAGCTTGATCTTATCAAAGAATAATGGGTCTGTCTCTTGAGTCCTTTCAGTTCACCTGGACCTTCCCTCATCTACTCAGATACTGCGAGAAGATTTTTCAAAGCATATTGACACCTTTTCATCAATACGTTTTCTTTAAACAATGAAACAATCAGGTATTTATTTGATACATATGTTCCTTCCACTGTGCTGTAAGTCCAATAGAAAAAAAATTAGATTCTTGTTCTTCAAAGAAAGTTTATTCTTTTTAGGGATACAACATGAAACTATTTGAGGGATGCAATACAGTACCAAAGTGCTACATTTTGTAGCATAAATAATTAAAATTGTAGCATTCAGGAGGAAGTCATCTTTGCTATTTAGAACACATAGGGAGATTTCATTAAAAAAGTAAAGCTTGCATTTTGCTTTGATGTTTCTCTGGATTGAGGATGGAGAAACAGTATAGAAGCAGACAGGAGAGCATGGGCATCCTGATCAGATGCTATGTTAAGAAAAGCATTTATCTAAAGTAATTTGAAAACTCTGAGATCACACTAACTCAAAATATATCTTTCAATGCAACCTGTCCTGTTTCTGCTGTCAGTAACGCTTACTTCTGGGATAAATATTGTCTCTAGAAGTCATCATTTAAGATGTCTATATCTTTTGAAGAGGCCAAGGTTGGGTTTTTCTCTGACTGGAATAAAAGGAAGGCATGAAGATAAGATATGATCCATTGTAAAAAAGGCATAAATGCAGAGGTGATAACAAAGCAGAGACATCAGTGTCATGTTTTATTTTGTAATATCCAATGTGAAGCGATTGATAAGGAAATTAGCCTGTCATTAGAGTTATTTACTATCTCTAAATGTAGGCATTTCATACATGTTTTTGACTTTTGAATAAACAAACTAACTTAACTACATTAAGGTTTTCTTTTGGATAACTGTTGAGTATTGTCATTAACCCTTTAATAGTACAGCTAGCTCATGTCAGAACACGTATGTGATTTCAGCCAGAGGTTATTGACTAACTTCTAAAACAAAAATCAAATGGAAGTTATTAAGTTCAAAACATATTCTTGAAATGTTCTGACTATGGAAATATTAAACCAAAATATGCTAGTTTTGGGTGTTGTGTGAAAAATATTATTCCCAATCAACATTTTCCTAAGTCGATTTCATGAAATGAAGCTTCCATGGGAAATTACGAGATGATATTTGAGCAGCAGAGGAAGGTTCTGTGGTGAAGTAAATTTTGGAAATACTTATTCAGGTAAACAGGGTTTGTGTTTACTTGTTTTTGCTGCAAGATTGCCTAGAACATCTAACATGCTGGCAAAAATCGTGGTTTCCAAGAGGTGAATTGACAAAGCGATTTTTCCAATCTGTATTTGACCCTGGGAGTAATGTTCTATGGAAAGCACTTTAGAAAATGTTCTAACATGATTTGAAATTCTAAAAGCTATCTGTAGATAACATATTAATGCTTTTTCAAAGGGAACACCCCTCAATTTAATATATATACATGCAACATTAATTTGATACAGGCTATTTCAAATGAACCCAATACACTTTTATTTTGAATTCCACATTTGTGGAACAGAATCAAAGAAAATATATAAGACTTCCAACTCTGAGGTTTTACAACTACAAGTTCACTGGGGAGACCCTTTATCTTGTGACTACTTTCAGCTATGTGAGCAGTCACAGTATGAAAATATACCAGCACAAAACTCTGTTGTGTAGGAGAAGTAACCTTTTTTCCTGCTAAATATAATGTAGATACTTCTGTCTACTTCTTTTACTCTTCTTTCCTGCAGGCTATTTAATTTCCTGCAGTGTTTGTTGATAAATTTTTAAAGTACCTGGACCAGCTAACAAAAAATGAGCTACCAGAGACTGGCCTTGTGTTTAATCCGTCTACAGCAATATTTCATTCATACAGGGTCTAACCGTGTGCCACTAATTGTGGCTGCCATTAGCCTCAGAGTGTAGGTTCAGCATTAACAACAACTTGATGAATGCATGGCCACTTTATAAACTAGCATTGGCAGCTTCTCCTTGAATTGTTTACACTAAATCTAATGTGTTTATGTTCTTTTTCTGTTCAGTGCTTTCTGAATGATCTTGTTAATTGGCTGTATATTTTGCGATATCCACACTGAAATATCTTAGCACAAAACTTGGCATAGTTATTGGATTTAAGGATGTTGGTATGTAAACAGAATTTAGATATCTCTCTGATATTTTTCTTTCTTTTTTTTTTTTTTTTTTTTTTGTAGAGACATGGTTTCACTATGTTGTCTGGGCTTGTCTCCAACTCCTAGGTTCAAGTGATCCTTCCACCTCAGCCTCCTAAATTGCTGGGATTACAGACATGAGCCACCATGCCCTGTCAATGTTTGGTATTTTTCAAAGGCAAAATCTAGAGTCAGCTTTAATCTTTTCTCTCAGTTATGTCATTGTCCTTTGGAAAGTGGAGTTATAATACAAAACAAAGGGACAGCGATTTCTCACCCCTTCATATTTGTGTGTATTTTGTTCTACCCTGACATGACAGTCTAGGGAAATTAATACTGTTACGCTGTTTGTCTTTCACATGATCGTAGGTATGCTTTCCAGCACACATACCAAGCAACATCTGTGTTACCTTTCCCTAAATTACAATTTCATATTATTAAGGTTGTTAGATGTGTTGCAATAACCACAATTGGAAAAGCAACCTGACTGTGATTGATTTTTGTTCTTTCTTTACTATATAGGGCTGGCTTTGACTTCAAAGAGTTATCTTAGTTCGGAAAAGAGGCCAGAGCAGGAACCTGTGAAATGATTCATGGGAGAAGATGGAAGTAAATGATGAGTTCATGTGCCTCTAGTCTCCAGTAATGGCATAAATCCATAGGGAAGTTCTTTAATGTCAGCGTGTATGCCTGCCTGTGTCAAGTCACATATAGGCTAGCACATATTATGAATTAAGAAATCTGGGGAATGAACAAAAATTCCTTTATACAGTTGTTCATTTTCAAAAGATGTCATATAGACTTGAAGATACAGGAGGAAAATATTGCTCTCATTTAACCATAAAAACTGTATTTGCATTTTTATAAACACAAAGACCATTCACATATGGCTAAGCACCTTTTTGGAACAAGAGAAAACATGGTTAATTGATTGTGGGCTAAGGCCTATCTGTGACTTCTCAAGTCCACAAACGAGTTTATTCCCAGACTGAAAATTTTAAGGCCTGCTGATTCTTTAAAATAATGAGGAAGGCAATGAATATATAGCATGCTTACTACTATGTCATTTAAATCATTGGATTTTATAACAGCCCTCCTCTCCCTGGGAGAATAAAACTTAGCATGTATATGTGCTGTTTCCTTTGCATTATACGATACAAGTTGAAGAATACTCTCTTAGGGAGTTAATATCACAAATTGAAAAACACTTCCTTCTTTCCTTCGCCATTCTTAACAGAAGTCACCTAGGAGCACCAAACATGCTAACGTATTCAGCTAGGCACTGCCAAACCATTAAGCCGGCCACAGACAGAGGAAAGAAAATCATCAATTAAGAGACAAGAACTAACTGTAACACACTGAAAATAAGATAGCTCAAGAACACAGGAATTCCTCTTTGATAAGTGATGGAGAAGTCGCACTCTAACAACAGGTCTCATTGTCAGAAACACCGTTATCAGATGCAGAAGTACAGAGATCTGGACAAGGTGTACCTTCCTTTCCTTGTTCCACTGGTGCTCTCTTGAGCCCTCCACTCTCTGCCCCCAAAATGTCCAGAATGCTACAGGTTACCTATAACCCCTCTGAAATTGCTGTGTTTTCTGATGGGAACCCTAAGAGTACTGCCCTTCAACAGGAAACTGGGTGGCGATCCACCTACATGATAAGTCGTCACCAATTCCTGTTCCTTATCTGCTGAAGCTAATGTAATGCTAAGGAAATCCGAATTTCTAAAACATCTGTCTCATCAACTCCTTTTTTTTTTTTGAGATGGAGCATCGCTCTGTCGCCCAGGCTGGAGTGCAATGGCACAATCTCGGCTCACTGCAACCTCTGCCTCCCGGGTTCAAGCAATTCTTCTGCCACAGCCTCCCGAGTAGCTTGGATTACAGGCACCCACCACCATACCCAGCTAATTTTTTTTTTTTTTTTAGAGACAGGGTTTCACCATGTTGGCCAGGCTGGTCTTGAACTCCTGACCTCAGGTGATCTGCCCGCCTCAGCCTTCCAAAATGCTGAGATTACAGGCGTGAGCCACTGCACCTGGCCTCATCAACTCCTTCTATTAGAAAGAAGGTTTTGATACCTCTTTGAGCACTTGTTTTAAAAGTGTGCTATGTTTGGCATCTAGGGATGGTCATTTGTATTATGTTTAGTATATCTGTCTTCAGAGAGAATTATTTATATAATGGAGAATGGTAGGAAGAAACAAATCTCAAATTTGTGTGGCAAGCTATTCAATATAAATCAACTTGGGGCGGGGAGGAATTCTATACAAAAGGAATAAAGGCAGCTCTTACCTAAAAGAAAATAAAAACTTTTTTAGGAAAACAAACAAGCAAACAAACAAAAAACGCAAGGCCAGGTGTCGTGGCTCATGCCTGCAATCCCAGCACTTTGGGAGGCTGAGGTGGGTGGATCACTTGAGGTCAGGAGTTCGAGACCAGCCTGGCCAATGTGGTGAAACCCCATCTCTACTAAAAATATAAAATTAGCTGGGTGTGGTGGTGCCCGCCTGTAGTCCTAGCTACTCAGGAGGCAGGAGAATTGCTTGAACCCTGGCGGCAGAGGTTGCAGTGAGCCAAGATTGCAACATTGCACTCCAGCCTCGGCAACAGAGTGAGACTCCATCTTAAAAAAGAAAAAAAAAAAAAAAGCAGAATACATTGTAATGGCTGCTGAGAAGCAGCTGTCTTTGTGTGTTTCTCTTTGTGTGGTACCTTTCATTTAGGATAGGTTTCAAACCCACAGTCCTATTGCTGTGAGTTTGGTCTCTGGAATTGGCAGGTGTAGGTAGGAATCCCTTATCTGTGTGGTCCTATGTTAATCTCTGCAAGCTTCAATTTTCTCATAGTTGAAACATAATTAACAATAAGATATCAGATACTTTGTAAAATTATTGTAAGGATTAAGTCGGGTGAAGGTTCCTAGGATTATTCAGCACATATTGCAAACATTTTTTTGTGAGGATTAAGTATGATAAGCCGTGTGAGGGTTGTAGACGCATCCTGCCCAGGTCTTCAGTGCACATTAACATTCCTTCTCTCTTCCCCTTCTTAATGATCATTTCTTGTCTCCTTCAGGGAAAGCACAGGTTGCATGTAGACACTGGAATGGAGGGTGATTGGTGTGGCCTTATTCCTGTTGGACAGCCTTGTATGCAGGTTACAACCACAGGCCTCAAGTGGAACCTCAGTAAGTAGAACCTTTTCATAAAGGAATGATTTTTTTTTTTCTTTTTTTCTCTGTTTCTTTCTTTCTTGCTTTCTTTCTTTTTTTTTAATGTCTCTGTGGTCTATACCTAGGAGGAATTGCTGGGTCATATGATAACTCTATGTTTAACCTATTGAGGAACTGCCAGATTACCTTCCAGTGTACCTGAACCATTTTACATTTCTATGTGCAGTGTAAGAGTGTTCCAGTTTCCCCACATTCTCAACACTTGTTATTATCTGTTTTCTGGCTTATAGTTATCCTAGAGCATGTGAAGGTGGCATCTTATGGGGGTTTGATTTGCATTTCTCTGATGACTAATTATGTCGAGCATCTTTTCTTGTACTTATGGAACATTCATATATCTTCATTGGAGAAATGTCTATTCAGCTCTTTTACCCATATTTTAATTGGCTATTTTTACATTGAGTTGTAAGAGTCCTTTATGTATTTTAGATACAAGTCCTTTACCCAGGTGTGTGACTTGCAAAAATTTTTTAGCCCTTAGCATATATTTTCATTTTCTGAAATTTAATTAACTAAATTAACAAATGTTAATTAAGTCTATGTTTTTTCTTTTATGGATCATATTTTTGATGTCATACCAAAGAACTCTTTGCCCCACCGTCTTCACGATTTTGTATATTTGAAAAACCTACTTTACTTTGCTAGAGAAGCAGCAAATTATTTTCGTAGTCAAATCTTTAACATAAGATTTGCTGCTCTTATTAAATTTTAAAATGTTTTCCAGTAATTGTGAACTGTATTAGGTCCTACTAGTACTAAAACTATCTGAGTTAAAAATATTAAAAAGTAAGGGGGTCCTGTTCATGAGATAAATGCTGATTCCAAAAGGAACCATCAGTCGTTGTGAAATGAATCAACTCTAGCCTTTCTAAGGATAGTAATAATTTAATCAAAGAGTTGTGATTGAATGTCAAAGGGATCATCTCCTAATTGACCAATACGGCAAAGCTGTACAAGTAAAATATGGAACTGTATCGTTCTTTTCTAACAAGTAAAGCACTTAGATTCCCACAAGAAAATAAATTTTTTTCCAAGAAATAAATATTTTGAAACAAAAAGACCTGTAAAAAGACCTTTCTATGAGCCACTGCAGAAACAATTAGGAAAAACTAGAGATATTTTGAAACAAATGTTTAGAGAGCTCATCAGAATTTGAAAGGACTGTGAGAACACATCTCCTCCAGTGCACAGAAATATGTGACAGGCTTTGAAGCTGTTTAGCTGAAATTGACCTGAGCTCCCATTGGAAGCTTTTTTGAAAACATTCTGGCCCCAAACAACTGTTTTATTTTTTCTAGTTCTCATTATTTCCAAGGGCACCCAATCTAGACAGTGATGAACTTCCTGCTGGATCTAGGAGCGATCACACTTTTCAGGGCTGGCAGCAAGACAAAGGAGCACTGAGCAAAGAGGACCGTTGGCACTAGGAGCAGGTGCCCCAGCTTCCTTTATCTTATAGTAATAAAAAAGAGTCATATGTTAGACATGATTCTTCTGTTATCTTTAGAATGTCCTTTGATCCTATACTTCCCACAGTAGTATGCACATTGTATTAGTCCATGCTCACATTGCTGTAAAGAACTACCTGAGACTGGGTAATTTATGAAGAAAAGAGGTTTAACTGACTCACAGTTATGCAGGCTTACCAGGAAGCATGACCAGGAGGCCTCAGGAAACTTACAGTCATGGTGGGAGGTGAAAGGGAAGCAGGCACCTTCTTCACATGGCAGCAAGAGAGAATGAGAGCGATGGGGGACGTGCCACAGACTTTTAAACCATCAAATCTCATGAGAAGTCAGTCACTACCACGAGAACAGCAAGGGGGAAGCCCACTCCCATGATTCCGTCACCTCCCACCAGGTTCCTCCACCAACAATTGGGAATTACATACAATTCAACATGCAATTTGGGTGGGGACCTGGAGTCAAATCGTATCACACATCCTAATTCTGTGTAAGGCTTTCTCTGGTAAGGGGGCCTTCAGCATGATGAGGGCAGGGCTCTTAACCTTCCTGAGATAACTTTTGATCCGGCCTGCATGTAATATGCCATTACTTATTTATATAGTTACACATCACTTTGACTTTTGAAGTAATTATTTTTTCTAAACTTCATAAAAATAAAAAAAAAACTTCATGGCATATGCAAAGCAATAAAGTTGAAATACAAAGTGTTTCATCAATTACCTGTTGTAAAAGCGCTAATTCATGGGGTCTTCTGATAGGTAATATTGCCTCATTAAAAGTTAATAAAAATAAATGTGACATCATGTTGACTTGAAGAAAAGTGGGTAGATTTCATTCACAGAGAGGGTCCCTGCCTTCCTCAGTGCTGTTGTCTGTGAAAGAGCCCTGAGGTCAGGGTTATTTTGTCAGTCATGGCTACAAAGGGACAGGGTGAAGGTGGGCTTGCAGAAAGAGAAAGAATATGCAGACACTTAGTCAGGGGCAGCTCACTTCTTGGGTTAATGGGAGTAAGCAAGTTTTTGTGAAGAAACTTGTCAAGGTCCTCATGTGCGGCCCCGTGGCTTGATCTCTACCTATCTCCACCCACTCTAAGTACATGATGCCACAAGTTCTAAAAGTAGTTGGATTTATCTGTTACCAGTTCGCAATATTTCACATGCCATTCTAACGTTTAAAAAAAAAAAATTGTGTGACTGATACCTAGGTACCGATCACCCAGGAGTGAAACGTTTCAAATATTACTGAAGCTGCCTATGTTTACAGTCTTTTATTTCATAGCAATATGCTATGAATATTCTTTGACTTGTGTCTTGTACAAGAGTTTCTCTAGGATATATACAGTTGGCAGTAAAATAGCTGTGTCATAGATAATCACATCTTCACCTTTGTGAGATACACCATATTGCTCTACACAGTGATTGTACCCATGTGTATTCAGCCCAGGAATACATATTAAGTTCCCCTGCTCCATATCGTCAACAATTCTTGCTATTACCAAACTTAATCATTTTTGTCAGCCTGATGAGTGTAAATGATATGTTTTTGTGGTCTCTGCTGATAAGGATAAGCATCTTTTTGTAGTTATTATTCATGCTGGTTTCTTCTTCTGTGAATTGCTACTTTCTTTTGCCTATTTTTCCATTGGGATGTTAATTCTTAGAAGTTCTGAAGCCTCTTTTTCCTGGCCGTACTTTGGCTTTTCAATTTGTTTATGGTGTTTTTATATGAACAGAGTTTATTGAGTTAAATGCAGTCAAAATTTATCAGTTTAGTCATTTTCGTGTAAGTTATCTTTCTATTCCCCATGGTCATAAAGATACTCTCATTTAAGTTTCGTGTTTAGGTCTTTTCTTTCACCTGAAGTTGATTTTTGTATATGATGTAAGGATCTAGTTTTTTAAAGATAATGAATTGCCCTAACATCATTTATTAATCCTTTCTCCAGTGATTTGCAGTGTAGCACAGGTGTTCATATGTATGGGTATGTTTCTTGGATCTGTTTTGTTCCATTGGCTTACATACCTGTTCCTGTGCTGGAGCCACGCTGCCTTCATTACCATAGCTTTATAATAAATATTGAAATGTGCTAAGTTGAGTCCTCAGACCTTGTTCTTCAAAATTGTCACTCTATTCCTGGCATTTTGCTCATTTGTTTGTTCGAGACGGAGTGTCTCACTGTCGCCTGGGCTGGAGTGCAATGGTGCAATTTCGGCTCACTGCAACCTCCGCCTCCTGGGTTCAAGTGATTCTCCTGCCTCGGCCTCCTGAGTAACTGGGATTACAGACGACTGCCACCACACCCAGCTAATTTTTGTTTTGTTTTGTTTTGTTTGCATTCTTAGTAGAGACAGGGTTTCACCAGGTTGGCCAGGCTTGTCTCCAACTCCTGACTTTGTGATTCACCCACCTCGGCCTCCCAAAGTGCTGGGATTACAGGCATGAGTCACCACACCGGCCTGCTCTTCTTTATAAATTTTAGAAGTAACTTGACAAGTGCCTCTCTCACACAATTCTATTATAATTTTTGCTGCAATTACATTTAATGTCTAGATTAATTTGGGAAGACTCAAAAAATTGGGGAAGGAAATTTCTACATGAAATTGAGTCTTCCCATCCACAAATTTAGTTTAGCTTTCTATTTACTTAGAACTTTTAAATTCCTTTCAATAATTTTATAACTTTCTCTATAAACATCCTATGCATTTTTATAAGGTTTATTTCTATAAACCCTATATTTTGTGTCCTAGTATAAATTATACTTTAAAAAATTACATTTTCTGTTGGTGATATATAGACATATAATTCATTTTTGTCTATTTTAATGTTAACATATTGATGAACATTAATTATATCTGAAAACGTGACTGTACACTCACTTGGTTTTCTATACACAATCGTATTTCTGTTAATAATCAAGTTTTCTTCTGCAGTCTGTAACAAATAGAATTAAGTTACTATAATGGACTGAAATGGTGGCTTTAAAAAAAAAGCCTTTTTGTTGGTTTCCTCATGTAGCAAAGTGCAGAGGTAAGTACCTACAGGGCAAGGTTTCTATTATTTCCTCAGCCTTTGCCTGAAAATCTAAGATGTCTTTTGCAACTCCAGCTGTATTGTGCCCAGTAGGCATCAGAAGAGAGGAAAGGGAAGGGAGCAGGAAGGATCTGTAACGGGAATCAGAGACATCAGGGATTCCCGGCATTCTCAGAAACCCTTCCTGTGTCTCATCTTTTGCCTCAGTGGCCAGAATTGTATCACATAGCCACCCTAGCTTCAAGGAAGGCTACGTGTGCAATTTTGAATCCAACTACATTGTCACTCCAAATAAAACTGAGGTTCCATCAGTAGGGAAGAAGAGAATGACTAGGAGTCTGCTCTTCTGTCAAAAAATGCCTTTGCTTCATTCATCATCTTGAACATTTTATCTATGTATATCTTAAAAAATTTATTTTAGTTTTCTTTCAGCCATATTCATATGGATTGCTGTTGTTTCTGTTGAAAAAATCTACAATCAATGAAATTAGTTCTGATTTGTTTATAATCTGTCACGTTTTCTAGACCTTAAGTTTTGCTTTGATATTCTAAAGTTTTACAACAATATGTTTGCATGTAACGTTTCTTTTGTTCTAGTTGCTTTTTATTCATTCTGATAATTGGTATAGTTCATCAATTCTGAAAATTCTTAGCCGTTTATCTTCTTCGATTGCTTCCCCTCCATTTTTTTCTATTCTTTTCTCCTTGAACTGTTAGTAAACATATTAGGCCTCATCATCCCTTTTCCTTGTTTATTCTTTGTGCATTCTATGTTTGTTTGTTTGTTTGTTTTCATCTTTCTTTTCACTGTTTCTGTCTTTGGCTGTTTCTAATCTGCCATTTAATGATTGTGTTTTGAATTTCATAGATTTTATTTTTCACTCTTTTTTATCTCAAAAAATTTAAGATCACGTCTTGTTTGTTGCCAGTATTTTAATTATATATTTACTTTTTTAAATATGTAAGCAGATTTTTAAAATATCAGAAATTGAGATGAATTATTTAATCTATTAGATTGTTAAAAATCATAATTTAATTGATAGGAGTTTTTTTAGATATTTAAAAATTGGGGCCTATTATAATACATGGTATCTTATATTTGGTGGAATACAATATGGTATTTGAGCATTCTAGTTTCTTCATCTCTTTTTTGACCTAATTCTGCTATTTTCCTTTTTTTTATTTTTTGAGAAGGAGTCTCAAATTTTCTGTTTCCAATTACTTTTAATGTTTCTTTTAGGTTCAGAGGTACATGTGCAGGTTTGCTATATAGGTATATTGCATGTCACAGGGGTTTTATATACAGATTATTTTAGCACCCAGGTAATAAGCATAGTATCCAATAGGTAATTTTTCAGTCCTTACCCTGCACCCTCAACTAGACATTGGCATCTGTTGTTCCCTTCTTTGTGTCTATGTGAACTCAACATTTCACTTCCACTTATAAGTGAGAACATGTAGTATTTGGTTTTCTGTTTTTGTGTTAGTTCACTTAGGATAATGGCCACCAGCTCCATCTATGTTGCTGCAAACGCATGATCTTGTTCTTTTTATGGCTGTGTGATATTCCATGGTGTATATGTACCACATTTTATTTATCCAGTCTACCGTTGATGAGGATTTCAGTTGATTCGGTGTCTTTGCTATTGTGGCTAGTGCTGTGATGGACATACATGTACATGTTCTTTATGGTAGAATGATTTCTATTTCTTTGGATATATACCCAATAATGGGATTGCTGGGTCAAATGGTAATTCTGCTTTGAGTTCTTTGAAAAATCGCTAAACTGCTCTCCACCATGGCTGAACTAATTTCCATTCCCACCAGCAGTATATGTGTTCCTTTTCTCTTCAGCCTCACCAGCATCTATTAATTTTTTGCCTTTTTGATAATACTGCTATTTTTAAATATTTCTTTTATTCTCACTCATGATAGACACTTTATCCTGTGTTTTATATATG
This sequence comes from Homo sapiens, assembly GCF_000001405.40. Taxonomy (NCBI): domain Eukaryota; kingdom Metazoa; phylum Chordata; class Mammalia; order Primates; family Hominidae; genus Homo; species Homo sapiens. Next base: position 144,541,988 of record NC_000007.14, on the reverse strand, counting down.
TGGTTGTCTTTTTTTTTCCTGTGGAAATATGTAGAAGGTTAGGTTGAGCATGTTCTTTGACATGAGATTTTAAGGTGCTTCTGCCAGTGCCCTGAGGTATAACCAATCCTGGAATACTTAGCTACCTTGGTATAAGATTTTCCTGAAGACGCTTTCAGTGTTAATTAAAACCACAAGGAATTGAGGTGTCTTTTTTAGTTTTTGCCTCTGTGAAAGCCCAGGCTGATAGAGAGATGTTTCCTTGTTCCGAACCTTTTCTGGCAGACCAGTTATTTCCTAGTTGCTATGGTCTGAAGGTTTATGCCTCCACTCCCAATTTGTATGTTGAAACTTAATCATCAATGTGATATTATCAGGAGGAGGAGACATTGGGAGGTGAGTAGATCATGAACCCTCGTGAATGGGATTAATGCCCTTATAAAAGAGGCCTGAGAGAGACACTTGCCTCTTCCACCACTCAGTAAGAAGGTACCATCTATAAACCAGGCAATGGATCTGGAGTTCCAGATGCCAAATCCGTGGTACCTTGATCTTGCAGTTCTCCACCTCCAGAACTGTGAGCAATAAATTTGTGATGTTTGTAAGCTATCTAGTTTATGGTATTTTATTAGAGTAACCCAAACAGACTAAGACACAAGTCTACCCTTCTGTTAAAGACGTAGCAGTGAATTTATATAGAACCTCAGTCCTAACTCTACTTTATCGAGGCCCAACATGTTGACTCTTGATTGACATGTATCTGAAAAGAAAGGCATCTTAGTTAAGGAAAGAAGCGAACATTCTCTGTGCAGGTGCCCTGTTTTCCAGCTCCTTCAATTTTATACCACTGAAGAGTTTATTTTCTTGTGAGCTTAGCATGTTAGTTACAGAACATTTATAATAAGTTATGTATTATGTCTAAGAGTCTGGTATCAGGAGAATTTCAGGATATATGGGCTACCATATGGCCAGAATGGAAATCTTCCACATCTCCTAGTTGAGGTTGCTTGAGTAGGACAAGAGTAGCATCAGGGAACCCTCTGAAGGGGAAAAGTTAACAGCAAAGGCTCTGGCAAGGTTTTTCAGAGGCCACAATTATATTTTGAAGTGACTCTATTCAAACTTTAACTCATGGAAACATACAAATCATTATTGTAAACATTCCAACACTCATATTTTCACCTTTGGGAAATCTGAATTCCAGTCTTACACTGATTTTTGAAGTTCTAAATGGAGCCACTGCTCATCCTAATCATTAACCCTAGAATTCTGCCCCTTCTTGTATATTTTTCAGAACCCAGCACACTGGCTTCTGCCTCATGATAGCTTCATCCTCCCCATTCCCCTTGTCTCCCTACTCAGCCATGTTCCATACTCTACATATTCCCAGAACAAAGATTCTCTTCAATAATTTACTAAAACTACTCCAGTCTTTCAGTCTCCTGCCAGGAGATAGCTACTTAATCTGATTTATAAATTTGTGTTAATGGGTGTTAATAGCTCAAAGTTGGGTTTCCTTCCTAGATAATCCTGGTGAATTTAGCAGGGTGTATTTAGGTTGATATTCCATGTAATACCTATACAGTCAAGTGGCAGTATACTCTATGTATGGGTTTGAGGTATTTCCAGAAGTTTTTGACTTTTCACAAAGGATGGGAACAATAATCAGAATTGTAATATTAATGTTCATATGATATTTCACATTTTTAAAGAGTCTTTTAAATATTACAATAGGTCTGTGTGACAGGTTGGATTGTCTGTATTTTTCAGATATGGAAATAGTAATTAAAATCTCTAATTGTCCTAAATTTACATAATTATGGATTAATGCACTCAAAATTTGAAATCAAGTCTTCAATACTATTTATCTTTCTTTCCAATTAGTAAGTGAAGGACTTATATAAAATAAGTTGATGTTTAAAAAATTTAAATTTGGAATAAAGAGAATGTAAATTTGGGATAAAGAGAAGATAGGAGGAAGGTAACTACATGGGAAAGCAAAGGTGATATGAAAGAGAAGATAATGGCACAGAATGGAAAGTAATGGCAAGAAAAGTGAAATTCTGACGGACAGAACTTTTAACTTTTCTACACTTTTGCCTAAGGAAAATATTAAATGGAGTTGCCTTCCATTTGCCCAGGCCCCTTTATATAGCACTCATATTGAGATTGAAATTATGTATTCATTGTTCTTTCTTTTACGTTTCTTTCAAAGAAATATAGAAGTAAATTACAAGGAAATAACTTCTCAGCATTGACTAAAAGAGACTCAACTCTTTTAACCTAGGGGAAAGAGTTTTGAAAGAGAGAAATTATGAGAAAACAGTTTGAAAAGATTTTTCATCTCTATGAAAATAAAAAAGCTGTAATAAGCATATACAGGTACCATGGTTTTCTGCAGGAGTTTTCTATTAAAATTTTTAAGTGTCAGCCTAACAAGGGAACAGTTCATGCATCTGTAAAATTACACTTGCTAATAATGCATTTTCAGTGAGAAATGCTCTTAATTCTCACTCCACTGCAACTCACAAAGTGATTGTAGGCAGTTGTCATAGTATAGCTATAGCTATTCCCACTTAGGTTATAACCTCTTGTGAGCTAGTGCCACTAATGTGTGAGATGTTTTGTGTTTTTAGATGTCTTTGTTATTATATTAATTATTGATTTTGCAGACCAGTGCTTAAAAAAGACACTCTGAAACTGTGACATCAGTATTTCTTGTCTGAGTCAAGGACGATGTCTTTCATACTGTAAGTCTTCTATAATCAATAACTTACTCTGAATTGAATTAAATATGTTAAAACATTTTTCCAGAAAAAAAAAAGATGCATTACAGATCAAAGGTGACAATAAAATTGGCATTGGCAATCTTTTCCCCTCTGGTCCTTCCTAAAATAGATGCTAGCTGAGGTCTTCCACCCCCAAACCCTTTTCTCGAGTTAACGAGTTGGTGAAATGATTGCATTTTATCACATTTACGATGCCATTGATTGTAAGATGTGTATTATTTTATGTATACTAAGAAAAAATATACTGATTATAATTGCAGATATAGGAAAATATCCATGTTAGAACTGATGAAATTTGATAGATCAAATCGAATAGAAAATTAAGTTCCTTATAGCCTCTGTATATTAGACCTTTGTCAGATGCATAGTTTGCAAATATTTTCTCCCTTTCTGTAGGTTATTTACTCTCTTGACAGTTTCTTTTGCTCTGCAGAAGCTCTTTAGTTTAATTAGGTCCCATTTATCAATTTTTGGTTTTTTTGCAATTCCTTTTAGTGTCTTCGTCATGAAATCTTTGCTGGATTCTGTGTCCAGAATGGTATTTCTTAGGTTATCCCCAGGATTTTTATAGTTTTAGGTTTTACATTTAAGTCTATACTCCATCTTGAGTTGATGTTTGCATGTAGTGTAAGGAAGGGGTCCAGTTTCAATCTTCTACATATGGCTAGCCAGCTACCCCAGCACCATTTATTAAATAGGGAGTCTTTTCCCCATTGCTTGTTTTTGTCAGCTTTGCTGAAGATCAGATGATTATTGGTGTGTGGTATTACTTCTGGGCTCTCTGTTCTGTTCCTTTGGTCTATGTGTCTGTTTTTGTACCAGTACCATGCTGTTTTGGTTACTGTACCCTTGTAGCATAGCTTCAAGTCAGGCGATGTCTCCAGCTTTGTTCATTTTGCTTAAGAATGCCTTGGCTATTCAGGCTATTTGTTTGGTTCCATAAGAACTTTAAAATAGTGTTTTCTAATTCTGTGAAGAATATCATTGGTAGTCCAATAGGAATAGCATTGAATCTCTAAATTGCTTAGGACAGTATGGCCATTTTAACAATATTGATTCTTCCTATTTATGAGCATGCAATCTTTTTCCATTTGTTTCTGTCATCTCTGATTTCTTTGAGCAATGTTTTGCAATTGTCATTGTAGAGATCTTTTTATTTTTTATTTTATTATTATTGTACTTTAAGTTTTAGGGTACATGTGCACAATGTGCAGGTTAGTTACATATGTATACATGTGCCATGCTGGTGTGCTGCACCCATTAACTCGTCATTTAGCATTAGGTATATCTCCTAAAGCTATCCCTCCCCCCACCCCACAACAGTCCCCAGAGTGTGATGTTCCCCTTCCTGTGTCCATGTGTTCTCATTGCTCAATTCCCACCTGTGAGTGAGAATATGCGGTGTTTGGTTTTTTGTTCTTGAGATGGTTTACTGAGAATGATGATTTCCAATTTCATCCATGTCCCTACAAGGGACATGAACTCATCATTTTTTATGGCTGCATAGTATTCCATGGTGTATATGTGCCACATTTTCTTAATCCAGTCTATCATTGTTGGACATTTGGATTGGTTCCAAGTCTTTGCTATCGTGAATAGTGCCGCAATAAACATACGTGTGCATGTGTCTTTATAGTAGCATGATTTATAGTCCTTTGGGTATATACTCAGTAATGGGATGGCTGGGTCAAATGGTATTTCTAGTTCTAGATCCCTGAGGAATCGCCACACTGACTTCCACAATGGTTGAACTAGTTTACAGTCCCACCAACAGTGTAAAAGTGTTCCTATTTCTCCACATCCTCTCCAGCACCCGTTGTCTCCTGACTTTTTAATGATCACCATTCTAACTGGTGTGAGATGGTATCTCATTGTGGTTTTGATTTGCATTTCTCTGATAGCCAGTGATGGTGAGCATTTTTTCATGTGTTTTTTGGCTGCATAAATGTCTTCTTTTGAGAAGTGTCTGTTCATGTCCTTTGCCCACTTTTTGATGGGGTTGTTTGTTTTTTTCTTGTAAATTTGTTTGAGTTCATTGTAGATTCTGGATATTAGCCCTTTGTCAGATTAGAAGGTTGGGAAAATTTTCTCCCATTGTGTAGGTTGCCTGTTCACTCTGATGGTAGTTTCTTTTGCTGTGCAGAAGCTCTTTAGTTTAATTAGATCCCATTTGTCAATTTTGGCTTTTGTTGCCATTGCTTTTAGTGTTTTAGACATGAAGTCCTTGTCCATGCCTATGTCCTGAGTGGTAATGCCTAGGTTTTCTTCTAGGATTTTTATGGTTTTAGGTCTAACGTTTAAGTCTTTAATCCATCTCAAATTAATTTTTGTATAAGGTGTAAGGAAGGGATCCAGTTTCAGCTTTCTACATATGGCTAGCCAGTTTTCCCAGCACCATTTATTAAATAGGGAATCCTTTCCCCATTGCTTGTTTTTCTCAGGTTTGTCAAAGATCAGATGGTTGTAGATATGCAGCGTTATTTCTGAGGGCTCTGTTCTGTTCCATTGATCTATATCTCTGTTTTGGTACCAGTACCATGCTGTTTTGGTTACTGTAGCCTTGTAGTATAGTTTGAAGTCAGGTAGTGTGATGCCTCCAGCTTTGTTCTTTTGGCTTAGGATTGACTTGGCGATGTGGGCTCTTTTTTGGTTCCATATGAACTTTAAAGTAGTTTTTTCCAATTCTGTGAAGAAAGTCATTTGTAGCTTGATGGGGATGGCATTGGATCTATAAATTACCTTGGGCAGTATGGCCATTTTCACGATATTGATTCTTCCTACCCATGAGCATGGAATGTTCTTCCATTTCTTTGTATCCTCTTTTATTTCCTTGAGCAGTGGTTTGTAGTTCTCCTTGAAGAGGTCCTTCACGTCCCTTGTAAGTTGGATTCCTAGGTATTTTATTCTCTTTGAAGCAATTGTGAATGGTTAGCTGTATTCCAAGCAAAAAACAAACAACCTTGTTAAAAAGTAGACAAAGGACATGAACTGACACTTTTCGAGAGAAGATATACATGTGGCCAACAAGCATATTAAAAAAATGCTGAACACCACTAATCATTAGAGAAATGCAAATCAAAACCACAGTGAGATACCATCTCACACCAGTTGGAATGACTATTATTAAAAGGTCAAAAAATAAAAGATGCTGGCAGGGTCACAGAAAAAAGGGAATGCTTTATACTCTGCTGAGGAAGTGTAAATTAGTTCAGCCATTGTGGAAAGCAGTGTGGAAATTCCTCAGAGAATTTAAAACAGAATTACTATTTGACCCAGTAATCTTATTTTTGAATAAATACCCAAAATAATATAAATGTTTCTGTCATAAAGACACATGCATATGTTCATTGCAGCACTATTCACAATAGCAAAGACATGGAATCAACCTAAATGCCCATCAACAGTAGATTGGATAAAGAAAATGTGATAAATATACACCATGGAATACTATGCAGCCATAAAAAAGAACAAGATCATGTCTTTTGTGGGAACATGATGGATGGAGCTGGAGACTATTATCCTTAGCAAACTAACACAGGGACTGAAAACCAAATACCACATATTCTCACTTATAAGTGGGAGCTAAATGATGAGAACTTATGAACACAAAGAAGGAAACAATAGACACTGATGTCTACTTGAAGGGGGAGGGTGGGAAGTGGGAGAGGAGCAGAAAAGATAACTATTGTGTACTTGGCTTAGTACTTGAGTAATGAAATAATATGCAAAAGAAACCCCTATGACATGTGTTTATTTATATAACCTTCATTATGTACCCCTAAACCTAAAAGAAAAGTTTGTTTTTTTTTTTTAAAAAAAAAGAAAAGAAAATGTGATACATATAAACCATGGAGCACTATGCAGCCATTAAGAAGAATGAGATCATGTCCTTTGCATTAACATGGATGGAGCTGGAGGTCATTATCCAAAGCAAACTAATGTAGGAACAGAAAACCAAATAACGCACGAAGTATTCTCACTTATAAGTGGGAGCTAAACAATGAGAATACATGAACACAAAGAGTGGAACAGTAGACACTGGGGCCCACTTGAGGGTGGGATTAGGGAGAGGATCAGAAAAAATACCTATCAGGGGCCATGCTTATTACCCAGGTGATAAAATAATCTGTATACCAAACCTTCATAAAATGCAGTTTACCTATACAACAAACCTGACCATGTACCCCTGAACCTAAAATAAAAGTGAACAGTGAAAAATACGAAACAGAAAGATTCCTGAATGTCTTCTGATGGATTGTTAGGCCTGGTCTCTAAAAGATCCTTTCAGGGTTATCTGATTCTATAGGAAACTTAAGCCCTTCATTGTTTTTGATTATTTTACAACTCTGTTTAGTTAGAAGCTAACTTGTAAGGGGCTGATTGTAATGTAAATGATTACTGTTTGTATAAGTCAAATGAGCTTTTGTTCTGTTAAAATGCAGTGGATTCTCACCCTATAGAATTGGCCAGTTTCCTATTCATTAGCAAACTCATGTCAGCATTCCCAATTATCTGTAGATGTGTCTGTCCTTTGTAGAGTCTCCTTGAAGCAGTTTTTTTTTTTATTTACAGGTTTTCTCATTAATTAATGACTTAAATAAAATATCTGTCATGTTCATTTTATATTTGTATGAGCCATTATTTTACCTTTTAAAAACTATTTGTTAACAAACCAAATTGCAGTCACTCATGATATTTTAAGGATCACAAGCTGTTGCGGTCTTTTTAAAAAAGTGTATTTTGTTATTGCAAAATACCATTTAACTTCCAAGTAGAGGTCAGGGGTAGCCCTGGAAACAAAGGGCTGGTTATGTCACTTCCGTATTTGTGTACTGGGAAGAGGTCTCACAAAGAGCTATGCTATGCTATCTTTGTCTAAAAAGGATCATGGCCATGACTTTGAGCCAAGGTAAGCAAGAGGAATCAGACCGGTATGATCTTCTAGGAGGCAAGCATTGATTCTAGTTCTAGTAGACTAAGCTAGAACGAAATGATATGTTTTTTTTAAACATTTTTTGAGATATAATTCACATATCATACAATTCACTCATTGAACATGTATAGTCAATAGTATTTAGTAGGCCGGGCGCGGTGGCTCACGCCTGTAATCCCAGCACTTTGGGAGGCCGAGGCGGGCAGATCACGAGGTCAGGAGATCGAGACCACCCTGGCTAACCCAGTGAAACCCCGTCTCTACTAAAAATACAAAAAATTAGCCGGGCATGGTGGCGGGCGCCTGTAGTCCCAGCTACTCGGGAGGCTGGGGCAGGAGAATGGCCTGAACCCGGGAGGCAGAGCTTGCAGTGAGCCGAGATCATGCCACTGCACTCCAGCCTGGGCGACAGAGCAAGACTCTGTCTCAAAAAAAAAAAAAAAAAAAAATTGGATTTAGTGTATTAAAATATGTGTACAGTCATCACCAGACAAATTTAGAAAGTTCATCTTTTCAAAAAGAAACCATGTATCCTTTAGCTGTCACCCTCACATCCCCCCCATGCCTTTTTGCTCTAGCCCTAAGCAACTACTTCTCTATTTCCTATCTCTAGATATTCTAGTCTTTCATATGAATTGAATCATGTAATATAGGGATTTTTGTGACTGACTTCTTTCACTTAGCATAACATTTTAAGGTTCATCAATGTAGAAATTTGTCAGTATTTCATTCACTTACATGGCTGCATAATATTCCACCATATGGTTATACCACATTTTATCTATTTGTCAATTAATGGGCATTTGAATTGTTTCCACCTTTTGCCTATTGCAAGTAATGCTGCTATAGATACTCATGTACAAATTTCTGTGTAGACATGTCTTCATTTTTGAGGGGTATATACCTAGGAGTAGAGTTTCTGGGCATTATTGTATCTTTAATTGCTGAAGAACTTCCAGACTGTTTTCCAAAGGGACTACACCATTTTCTATTCCTGCCAACAGTGTATGAGAGTTCCAATTTTGCCATGTCCTTGCCAACACTTATTATTTTTATCTCACTTTTTGATTCTAGCCAATCTGGCATGTGTGAAGTGATATCTCATTGTGGTTTTGATTTGCATTTCCCTGATGAATAATGATGTGGAATGTATTTTCAAGTACTTCTTGGCCATTTGTATACCTTTCATGCAGATTCTTTAGCCATTTCTTAATTGAGCTATTTGTCTTTTAATCATTGAGTTGTTAGAGTTCTTTATGTATTCCAGATACAAGTCCCTTATCAGATATATGATCTGAAAATATTTTCTTCCATTTTGTGGGCTCTTTTTGCTTTCTTAATGGTGTTCTTTAAAGCAAAAAGAAAAACTACTGTTGACAAAGTCTTATTTTTTTCACTTGTTACTTATGCTTTTTGCATCATATCTAAGAATTGGTTGTCAAATCCAATGTCATGAAAACTTACATTTTCTTTTAAGAATGTACAGTTTTGTGCTTACATTTAGGTTCTGGATCTGTGTTGAATTAATTTTTATATTTAAGTAATTTTGTGTAAGTTATAGCTAGGATTCTAATAGAGATTGTGTTGATTCTGTAGAGTATTTTGGAGAGTATAACCATCTTAACAATGTTGTCTTCTAATCCATGAACATGGAATGCTTTTCATTTATTTAGATCTCATTTAATTTCTTTTCATGTTCTTTTTAAATAGTACAAGTTGTATACTTCTTTTGTTACATTATTTAGTATTGTTTTTATGCTGTAGTGAATGGAATTCATTTTATTTTGGGTTTAATTCCAAGTGTATAGAAATACAATTGATTTCTGCAATTTATCTTGTATCCTGCAACCTTGCTGAACTTATTCCTTAAGACTAATGGATTTTTAGCAGATTTCTTAGGAGTTTCTATATACAAGATCATGATTTCTGCAAATAGAAGTACTTTTACTTCTTTTCAAATCTGGATGCATTTTCTTCCTTTTTCTTGCCAAATTGTCCTCGCTAGAACCTCAGGTACAATATTGAATAAAAGTGTTGAGAGTGTACATCTTTGTTATGTTCCTGATCTTAGGAAGAAAGCATCTAGTTTTCTGTTCTTAAGAATGATGTTAACTGTGGGCTTTTCATAGATGTCCTTTATTAGATTAAGGGGGTTCTTTGCTATTTCCAGTTGTTGAGTGGTTATATCATGAAAGTGTGTTGGATTTTGTATCTTTCTGCATCTGTTGAAATGAACATTTGATTTTAAAACTTCTATTGATATGTTTTACATTAATTGAATTTCAGATATTAAATCAAACTTGCATCCCTGGAATAAATCCCACTTGGTCATAATGTATCATTACTGTTATATGTTGCTGGATTTGGTTTCTGACTATGTTGTTGAGGATGTTTGCATCCATATTCCTAACAGGTATTGTTCTGTGGCTTTCTCTTCATGTGATGTCTTTGTCTGGTTTTAGTATCAGGATAATACTGAGATTTGCTCTTCAAGTTGAGGTATTCAAGAGAGAAACTGGGGAAGTCAGCAAGGCAGCAGGAACAACCCAATTAAAGTAGAGTTGGCAGGCAAGATACAGAATGTGGGGTACGTGACATAGAGGGAATTTTACAGTGTAGAAAATTTTTTATGTTTGACAGTATATTTGAAGATAGATAAATAGATAGAGAGATAACAGACAGACTTAGAATGGGTGTTGTTTGATGATAGGTAGATGAAAAAAATTGACAATATTTGTTAAAATTTTCATGATGTAAGTTTTCAGATTTATCAGTTCCCTATTGCTGCTGTAACAAATTACCACAAACTTAGTGGCCTAAAACAACACAAAGTCATGATTTTACAGTTTGGAGGACAGTCAAAAATGAGTCTCATGAGACTAAAATACAAGCATTGGCAGAGCTTCATTCCTCCTGCAAGCTGCAAGAGGGAAGTTTTTTCTAACCCTTTCCAGCTTCTAAAGGCCACCCACACTTCTTGGCTCCTAACCCTTTCCTCCATCCTCAAGACTGGCAGCATAGCAGCTTCAAATCTCTCTCCCTCTTTTTCTGACCTCTCTTTCTGGTGTCACTTTTTTTTTTTTTTCTGACTCTGAGTCTTCTGCCTTCTTCTTTTAAGGAACTTGTGACTACACTAGGACCACCTGGATAGCCAAGGATAATCCCGTCCCAAGACTAATCAGATTAATCAGACTTAATCACATCTGTAAAGTTCCTCTTGCCATGTAAGTAGCATATTGGCAGGTTCCGGGGATTACAATTGAGGACTTTTTAGTGGTCCATTATTCAGCCTACTATATCAGATAGTAATCCAGTGATTTTCTAAAATAATACTTCTTGAATACAATTATATGCCATTGAATCTGTACAATTGAATCGATGTATAAAAACGGTATATAATTGTATTCTATTTGAAAAACTTAGTGTTGTCATTCATCTTGCCTCAGGTAACTTGCAGTTAAGAATCAAGACATAAACAAAACAAATTTTGCAAGTAGGATTTATTTGATGCCCTCAACAGGGAATGAGGTCTACCTTTTCCATTCAATGTAGTTACTGTTCTCCAAAATTGTAGTAAGTTTTGCCACGTGTGTATTTTGATGCTTCAGAACCAGGAAGGAAGTCAGCAGGTTTACTTAGGCTAGAGCTCACTCTTCACTCTGTGGCAGGTTTTATCCAGTCTCTTCTTAGACATATGTTTCCCAGCCTTTTTGCATGTCTTTTCTGTTTTTAGCCTTTTTAAGTTGTTCTTATACGAGAGACTGATACTTTATACCAATAACAGGCAGCAATCTGATGTGGAAATAAAATTCCCGAGACTCTAAAAACATGTGGCTGTAAAGGCAACAAGAAAGAGTCAAAACTTTCTCCCTCCTGTTTTTGTTGCCTTTCTGGCCGCATGTTATCAGAGTCTCAGGACTCTAAAGGTCCTTATTATCAATGACTTCTCTGAGCACACATACACCATTAAACTGCTGGTGGACTACTTACATGGCTATCACTCTTACTCCTCCCCCTTCCACACCCGCATATACCTACACTCTGATATAATACAAGTTTAGGTTTTTTATTACGTATGAGATTTGGTCAGTTGGGGATTATAGACCACAAAACTGCCACCTTTGATGAGTTCCGAGTATTAGCATTGAGGAATGATTGCACCAGCTGGCAATCGTGGGAAGCTCTCGGACCTAGCTTTTATGAAGAAGGCAAAGTGTGGGGAGGGGGTTGATTAGCAGGAGATATTATTTGTCTATAGAGAAAAATACACGGAAAAACAAGATTACTTTTTAGATTATGTCATTCTGAAGACTGTATAGTATTCTACTTGTAAGCAAATACTACATTTTTCAGGCATATAAGACTAATGACACACAGCCAACTACAAACTGGGATTTAATAATATATTTCATTAACTCAGCTCCAGTTCCATTTTCTATGTTGTAGGATTTGAACCAGACACAAATGATTTCTCTTAAGTCCTTGCCCTTTTGTGATTCTGCTGAGAGCACAAGGAACCCACAATAATTTACCATATGCCATAGTTCATCCTGTTTTGTTTTTTAAAAAACTCGCAACAACCTGACACATTTGTTGTGGTTGATTCTGGGCATTTAAATATGAAAACAATCAATGTGCATTTGTAGAGAATATGACAAGTGGGAATTTGTGTGCAGGCCAATTTTTCACTGACCTGCATTCAAGAACATTATTATAACCCAAGCTTGCCTCCCAAGTTGTTTAAATGAGTTGATTTCCCAGTATTTGTGTGGGCACGTTGAGTGATGAGAATGACTTCAGTGTAAGCCCGACTCCCTTTCTATTTCCCCTCCTCTGGGTTTCAGTTTTGTGCTGATTCAGATGTGAGCTCTGTGCATTCAACCATCCAGTTAATACACTGAGACAAGAAAGCAATAACTTTTGGTGATTACATGAGTTGTAGAGAAAGAATCAAGGGTGCAGGTGAATAAACTTTTGCTCTGGGAATGGCACACTGGATATAATTTTCTGCTGGTTCCAAATAACAATACTTTAAATCTTGAATAAGTCTTTCATGTATCTCCTACCTGTTGTATCTCTATACTCATTCTCATTCTGGTATAATATCAACCTTTTTTAAATGTGAAGTATTATCATCCCCATTTTATAGATGAGAAAACAAGATGAGACACAAGATGCCAGATGAATTGTCTAAGTTCATATTTTCTAACCTAGTCCTCTATATACATAAAATGGATTCATCATTAGTTATTTACATAACCATTTTTAAAATCGTTGGATGTGGTAGTAGTGAAATAGCCTATTTCCAAGTCATTTTTCTAAATGACAATGAAATTTTTCTGAAATTGGGCCGGCTCAAAGACAAACAAGATAGCAAACATCTTAGCAGTTAAAATCAGGTTTCAGGCACCATCCAAGAGATTCCTTTCCACTCCATGAACCACAAGTGCACAAGCTAGTAGATTTGTAGTGTGTAATTTAAGTGTAACTTAGGCTTACTGTGATATCTGATTTCTAGGGTAATTATAAATTGTTAGCATTCATCGTGGTTCTCCAAGAATTTGTGGTAAGGATTCGAGGGAAGAAAAAAGATATATTTAGCATCCACAAAGGGGAATAAATGGTTAAAACAGTGTTTTTGAGTGTCTAAAGATTAAAGGGTGAAAAAGAACAATGTTAATAGAGCTAGGAAGACAAGGCTGCAGGAGGTTTACACTGCATGCAGGGCTTTTTCAGCAGTGAGCCACCACTTTGTCCTCTAGATTGTTTGGAGATCAAACTGTAAAAAAGCTAAAAATATTTGGAGAACACTAGGTTTAAATTAAAAGGAGGGGAGATCAAACTGGAGAAATGCCCATTATGGAGACCAAAATAGAAGTATCTGCATCAGAGACCTTTTACATATACCCATGTATCCCAAATAGTAGTGAAGTATTTGCATAGCTATATGCATATATAGCTATACTTCAAGGAAAATCAAGGCATAGGTTACATGGAGAGCAGGTAAATTCCCAAGCTAAAGGGGTGCGTCAGGGAATTATACAGTATTTTCTTTCCATTCCAGAGAAAAGAGTAGGATTGAACTAGCAAGAGAGGGTAAAGATCCTCTGGCTTTGAGAATATTATAAGAGCCAAAAACAAGAACAAATCCATGCCTTTTTAATTTTTTTTGTTTTTTGACTTCTAGCTTTAGGGTTCATGGCAGGTTTGCTCTCTAGATAAATTACATGTTGGGGGGTTTGCTATACATATTATTTTGTCATCCAGGTAGTAAGTATGGTACCCGATAGGCAGTTTTTCAATCCTCACCCTCCTCCCACCCGCCTCCCACCCGCCTCCCACCCTCTGCCCTCAAGTAGGCCCGATGTCTCTGGTTCCCTTCTTTGTGTCCGTGTGTACTCAGTGTTAGCTCCCACTCAAATCAGTGCTTTAAACATCTTGACAAAAAAAAATCTCTGGAGATTATTGCATAATATATAACTTACCTTCTCTGTATGTAATTTATACCTTGACTGTTCCTTAAAATGTAGCAGAAACAAAGTATGTATCTGTTTACTTCAATTCATAATGAGGAGGGAAGATGACAATAGGGTTCAAAGTCTGACTCTGTAACTAATGAATTAAATGGTACTACAAGTAACATGGATTCTTCATATATACAAAGAGGACTGATTGTATATATGATGATAGATGGTATCCAAGGTTTCTTTTGGTTTGAAAACCATGGTCGCTGAAGCCACAGAGAAGCGCGTGAGTCCAGATCCTAAATGTCAGGAGCTTGATATTCTAAGGAGGCATCCCTCTCCTCCTTACATTCCTGTGTGGCAGCAATGAACGGTCCCCATGAGAAGCTGTAATAGGATGAGACTCAGGGGACTTTTGCTTGGAAGCTGTGTTGGGATGACATCGCGTTGTGCATACCCGTCTCTTGTCGGTTTTATGAGATGTAGTTCACTGTATGACAGTGGCTTTGAACATTGTGGAAGAAGACGTCCTATGGCATCACTACAGTTTATCATCTCCTGCTGAAGGTTCTCACTCTTTAGAAGTTCACAGCCAAGCGAGTACTGGGAAATTATTATTATTCCTCATTTACACTGAGACAGAGTTGAAGCTCTGGCCGCAGTCAATAAATCACTTTGATGATGATTCATTAGCCGTGTTGAGATCCCCCGGCCGCTCCAGCGCCAGCGTCACACTTGGGCTGTCTTCTCATCTTAATTGCAAGGTTTCACTTCTGGAGAAGCACAGCAGCCTTTGCCACTCACCTATTTTCTGGACACATTTAATTTCAAATTAACAAGTTTTCCCTCGCAACTATCTATCTCTAAATCCGGTTTTTCGTGTGTGTGTGTGTGTGTGTGTGTGTGTCTTAATGTGCTTAGGAAAAAGGGAAAAACGTGTTTAGGAAAAAAGTGTGTGTGTGTGTGTCTTCATGTGCTTAGGAAAAAAGAATGCTTTCAGACTCTCTTTTCTTAAACAACTACAGATGATAACTAATTTTTATCTTAACCTTTAAGAAATTAGTTATGTGCAGTGTACAAGTGGAAAGTCTGCCAGGAGAGAGAAACAAATTGTGGACAATTGAAATCTGACATACAATTAAGAAAAATGTAAATTGAAACTTGTGGTGTTTTCACTAACTTGTATCCCACCAAATGCTGATTTTCTAGAGATAACAGTGAAGAGATGCCATTTCCTGCTGCCATGGTACATGCCAACTACCATATAAATTTAATAAATGAGGCTCATTCCCTATAGGTGGGTGCAGTACCAAAGGGAGGAGAAGTCTGGCTTGTGCTTGTAGGACAAAGTGAATGAGGACAGAGCTAGCTCTGGCAGCCTTCTCCTCCTCATCCCCTGCTGCTGCAATGGTGATATAAATATGCGCTCTGTTCTCCCCTATCCTTACTATGTAGCTCTCTTTCTTTAAAATGAGTAACTTTGAACTAAACTATCTCAAAATCTTTTTCATCTCTAGCATTAGTCTTTCTTCTTTATTCTCAGTAATAGAATTGTACTATTTTATCCTCTCCTCCTGAGAGCCTATTAAAAGCATTTGAGGTCCAACACATATTCCATTTTCCCCATAATACATGACCTCACCCCCTGGTATTCTCAGAATGTGTTCTCCCTTTAACGTCTCCCCCTGCACAAATGTTACTCATCTACAAGGGCCATTTCAGATCACATCCTTCATGAAGCTTTTATAACTAAATGCAATTTCTCTTTCCTTTGAATTCCTAAAGTATACCATGTAACTCTTCCATATAAATAGCATCATTATTTGTGTATATTTCTTATTCCCTTGACTAGAATGGATTTGCCTCAAGAATTTGGTGCTTGTCTTCTGTGTCCCCTCCTAGTCATCCAGAATAGTACCTTTGCATATTTTATGTAATTAACCACCTTTTTAAAATCAGCAAGTGCATTTTACCCACACGAGTTCTGTAATGGGACACGGAACTAATTGTGCTATGGTAAAAAATGTTCAAGCAAGAGTTCTTTATTATAACTTTTAAAGCAATTAGAAGAATGAAGGATAAGTTCCATTTTAAGGGTAAAAATACTTGCAAACCCTGCCAGAAGTTGATATGGTTTAAAGTAATACGATCCAAAAATGTGCCTATTACAAAAGAGGGTTTTTGAGTCTGAGTGAGTGTATGTGTGTGTGTCTCTGTGTGTGTCCAGACAGGGGCTTACCTAGGGAGTGGCAGTGGAGGAATTTTTGGAAATTATTGCCTTTCGGGGGATTTGGAGTTTTAAATGCATCCTCTGCTCCCTAGGATGTTTTTTTCTGACTCATTTCTTTACTGCTCTGAGCGTGAGTCAAGGTCTAAAGCATTTCATTTAGATTCATTCTCCTTTTAGATGCTGAAAATTGTACAGAACTCTTATTTGAGAGCAGACATCATTGTAAAAACAAAGGCAAATGAAATTGGTTCTTGCATTATTGTGTCCTCATTCATGAAACTTGTAATATTTGCTTTGCAAAAAGAAAGAAAACAGAAAAATCTTAGTTCACCTTACTCTACTGTTTCCAACAGGCATTCGTAATGGTGTTACACATATGTAAAAGGTGGGTTTATGTTTGTTCCAGTTATTTTGTATGTTTTATCTACATAACTAGGTTGTATACTCTTTTAGTTTATAGGCCCTTCATGTTTTGCTCATCGTAGTTAGTAAATCCTTAATATTAGATGCTTAATTGGCATTGATTAATAATAGGATTTCTTATCAGGGTTGCTGCTTTTAAATATTCAGATCTTACACATTTCTCTGTCATTGTTAACTAGAAGAAGTAACTAAAGGGGTTACTTAGCCCTGGGAAACTGTCATATTTACAGATTAGTAAAAAAAAAAAAAAAAAAATAGCAGATCCTATATAAAAAACAAAAGGCAAAGAGTGAACGGTGAGCAGGCCAGGAAGAAGTTAGCCAAGAATTAAGCTATCATTGAAAGAGGGATTAATAAGTTGGATCTTATGTAAAAGAGATTAAAATTGTTGGATTTTTACTAAAGAAATGCATTGGTCACTCTTAAAAATGCAGAGGAGTAATAGCATAGTAGGAACAGAAGCCAGATTTCTATTCATTAAGGAGGTATTAAAAACATACTGAAAGCACAATGGCAGGAAATTAAACTTTTAAAAAGAAGTTTATCAGTGATATGAGAAGATATATACATGTGAAGGCTTCATTATCAAGAAGGCCTTTATGTCCAAGATGAAAGGAGTCTACTTATGTTGAAAGATCAAAAGGACCAGGAAACTCCAGAGATCCAGGGAGAGATGGAAGAAACGGGGAAAGGATGGGTGAAGTGTGGAAGTGGTATTCCTCAAGATGGAAGATGGAATTCAGACTGGGGATGGGAGCCCTTCGAGAAAAGTGTGTTTAGCTCCACCTTTGAAAGTAGAGACAACGAAATGAGAGATGATGAGTTAGGTATGAAGGTGAAGACACTCAGAGATGACAGAACTGATAGGTGGCAAGAGTCTTTACCAAGACAGAGACCACAGCATCGGGGATAAGGCACTGGGTTAAGGGTAGGATTTAGAAAGTTTAAAATACTTATCAAGGAGAGTGGGTTACATTTTGAACCACAACATGGACTAAACTATGTTGAACATAAAGTATTTTTCAGTTCTGAATTTCCCTCTAGCAGAATTGTAGTAGGAAATAGTGGGCAGAGTGGACTGGAGGCCCTGACTGTGGGCAAGCCTGCCCTTGGGCAGCGGTTCTCAAGTGCCACAATATGTCTCAATCACTTGTCAATTAGGCCCCAAGTACTCTGTAACTAAGTGTAAGTACTCATGATTTTGACTGAGTTTTTAAAAACTCATTAAAGCAGATTAAAATTTACTCCTAAAAATCATGCCTCTCACTGTCAATTTAGTGTACTTCCTTGAACTGAAAAGAAACCTGTGGAGTTAGAATCAGCGTTATGGAAATTGTATGTGCTTTCCCCCTCATCTGAAGGTGACTCATGGATTCAGCTGCTGTTACAGATTTACCATTAATTGTTATGGCAGTCACAAATTATTTAGAGCTTCATGGTTCAAGTTTTATAGTTAGTTGGGTTTTCTGTGTAATTTTTCTGATGAATTAATTTTTTTCTCTGAGACAAGGTCTCGCTCTCTCACCCAGGCTGGAGTGTGGTAGCACGATTATGGCTCACTGCAACATCTGCCTCCTAGGCTCAAGCAATCCTCCCACCTCAGCTCCCCAAGTAACTGGAACTAGAGGCATGTGCCACTATGCCCAGATAATTTTTTGTAGATATGTGATCTTGCTATGTGGCCCAAGCTGGTCTCAAAGTCCTAGCTTCAAACAATCCACCTGCCTTGGTCTCCCAAAGTATTGGGATTACAGGCATGAGTCAGTGCCCTGGCCAAAAGAATGAATTTTTAATAAAGAAGGTATTGGGCAAAAATACAAAAAATTAGGCATGGTGGTGTGCACCTGTAGTTCCAGCTACTCGGGAGGCTGAAGTGGGAGGGTTGCCTGAGTCCAGGAGTTCGAGGCTGCAGTGAGCCATGATCGTGCCCCTGCACACCAGCCTGGACGACAGAGTGAGACTCTATCTCTTTAAAAAGAAAACAAGAACGTATTGGCCGGGCGTGGTGGTTCACACCTGTAATCCCAGCACTTTCGGAGGCCGAGGCAGGTGGATCATGAGGTCGGGAGATCGAGACCATCCTGGCTAACACGGTGAAACCCCGTCTCTACTAAAAATACCAAAAATTAGCCAGGCATGGTGGCAGGCCCCTGTAGTCCCAGCTACTCGGGAGGCTGAGGCAGGAGAATGGTGTGAATCTGGGAGACGGAGCTTGCAGTGAGCCTAGATCGAGCCACTGCACTCCAGCCTGGGCGACAGAGTGAGACTCTGTCTCGAAAAAAAAAATAGAAAAAGAAAATTAAAAAAAAAAAAAAGCAAAAGGGTATTGAATGGAAGAAGAAAATGAGAGTAGCGCATCAACAAATTTCTTGTACTTGTATCTAAGCAATCTAAAAATACAATAGGGGATAGAGGGGAGGTCACTTTGCCATGTCAGTCAGTATTTTCAAAAAAAAGACAAGTTTTTAAACTAGAAGTCATCAAATATGTTTTGCGTACGCCATTTCTCAATAAAAAATGTCCCTTTGCTTGGTCTGGTCCTGGGTCCTTTTCTTCTTTTTATCTGTAAATTCTCCCTAAATGATCTTACCATGACCCATGGCTTTAAATACATCTAAATGCCATTGTTTCTCAAATACATAGTTCCCTTCCTGCCCTCTCTGATTATTCCATTTGTACCAAGATTCCTGGGATGTAAGCTAACTAGAGCATAGAAACTTCATCTGCTTTGTTAACAACTTATCTCTAGTGCCCTCAAGAGCACTGAGTTGTTCAGTAAATCTTTGTTGAATGAATGCCTAAAAACCTTGTCTAACCCGGTGACCATAAACGACAACCTGATTTTTGCCTCACCTGTTCGGTTTTCCCCATGTCAGTAAACCACCATCTACCCAACAGCTCAAACCCAAATCCTTAAACTCATTCTTCCCTTTTCTCCATCTCCTAGTCCCATCCTAGTCTAGGTGATCTCTACCATGGAATCCTGCAGTGGTCTCCTTCCTTACTGATCACTTTGTCTAATCATTCTTTGCAAAACAACCAGAGCAATCTTTTTGAAGCCAAAATAAAACTTACTTACGTCACTCCCCAGTTTGGCACCCTCTAATGGCTTTCCTTCACATTTAGCATAAAAGCCACACTCTTGCCTGCATCTCATGACCTGGTTTGTTCTCTCTTCCCCAGCCTAGGTGCCAGTTTCCCTTCACTCACTTAACTCTAGTCTCAGTGACCTTTCAGTTTCTGCCTTAGGCCTTTGTACCTGCTTTTCCTTCTGCCTGGAATACCATTTTTCCTGTCTTTCAGTGGATGTCCCACATTGTATTTTTTGAGTCTTAGCTTAGATGTTACTTCTTTAAGGAGGTTGTTTCTAATAACCAGATCTGCATTAGCATGACCAACCCACCAACAAAGCTTCTCCAGCACATCACCCTGTTTTGTTTTCTTTATTGCAATCATCACTGTCTGAAATTATTGAATGAGATTATTGAGTGTCTTTAAAAGCAGAAGTTGGGTCTCAGTCAGTCATTTCTATACCTGCCAAAACACAATCACATGCCTTAGACACAAATGGATCGTTATAAAGTTTGGAAGGACGACGGAGCGGGCTTTAAATATTGGTTCTGCTACTTGCTAGGTATGTGACCTTGTGTTTCACCTCTCTAAGTTATATTTTCTCATCTGTAAAACAAATAATGATAGAGAAAATAATAACTCTTCATAGGAATGTTGAAAGGACTAAATGAGATAGAGCATGTCCAGTGCTTGGCACACAGTGTAAGTAGTGGATGTTGTTACGGTGATGATTTTTATGGATACCCAAAATGTCAATCCCAATAGAATCCAAGAGTAGCCCATCTTAAGTGACTGAGAGTCTAATATTGGTGACATTCTATAATATTGACTGTCATAGAGCCAATAAATAAATATTGTACCAAAAACTTAGCTGTGAATTTAGGCCTATATTCTTAATTAAGAAAAAGGTAACAGTGGAAAATCACTTCTGAGTCTTATAAATAGGAAATTGGATTTCCTAATGGGTAATTTAAAATACTTTGGGAGCATAAATACACCTGGAGCACTCAAGCTATAAGTTGGTGACTCAGAAAACAAGGGCACAGAATCTTGAAATAAGCAACAGCAAATGAGCACTTAAGCACTTAAAGAGCAAATTGCAGAAAATAAATTAATTCATTTAAATATGCATGAATCTCCTGAGTGGGGAATATGCTGAAATGGTGCTGAATGATTTCTTTTGTTACGTGTGTTCAGAAGTATTAATAATGCCTCACTTTGTGCTTTATACCTTTGAGGAGAACAAATCCCACAATCTTTTGCCTTTATAAATTGTTTTTAAAGTAATGGATTCTAAAACAGGAAATTCTAATCAAAGTATACACTGGTCACATTGATTTGGAAAAGTAGATAGGAAGTTTATCAGAAGATAGATGGATCCCTGAGAGAATGAAAAGTAGTTCTGATTACATCATTTAAAAAAAAAAAGTGGGGGTGGCCTTTGGGGAGGCTGATATAATTTTGCAGAAACTTCTTAAAAGTTAGAAACTTGCTGACCTTTTGCCTAAAATACATGCTAACATTTAACCAACCTCTCGGATACTGTGTGGCACAGCAATGTAAGTTCTAAGAATCAATATACTCAATTGTAGACCATAGTGTATGTTCAGGATATTTATCAGAATTACTAACTCAGTTATTTCAGCTCTCATCAGATCTCTTAATTTTCATTCTGGCCAGCACAGACACTAAAAATCTTGGTATTTTATGTCCTTGCATACTTAAAAACCAACTTTATGCTTACATAATTGAAGAAATAAAGAAAAAGGACCAGGGGAGGAGGCAGACATAATAGAAGCAGAAACAAACTCTCAATAAAAGGACTATAAGATGCAAAGCTATGCTCTCTTTGATCTTTTTAAGGAGAAGGATTTAAGGAAATTCCGATTTGCCCTGCACATGCTGATGGCTAGGGAGCTTCCTTCCTTGGCCACATTTCGTCTTTGATGCCAAGGCAGTGAAGGGGAGCTTGGCAGCAGAGCAAGAGCTGGAACCGAAGAGACCTCAACTGTGGAGTAGATGGAGCTGAGAAAAGGATTTGGCAGCCCTGCCTGAGAACAGAAATAATCAAAAGAATTGCCAAGAACCATAAAACAAGAAGGGTAGGGATATGAGCTACACTGACTTGGTTTTCTGAACATGGAAAAATACTAAATCTATTCGCAGTCTGTTATTATGCTCATGTATTTCTATGAGTTTGTTATTACAGTAATTTCTATTTTGCCTTAGGTCTATGAATAGGATCAAGACAGATAAGTTTTGTTGTTGTTTGTTAAGTCTGGAAAAACACATGCTTGCTCACACAGGATTTAAATATGTGTAACTTATGTATAAATGCATATATCCCCATAGTTGAATATTTCCATTGATGCCAAAAGTTCATTATTTTTTTCTTTTGGGATGCAGTGATATGTCACAATTAAATAATCTTAGAAATCTTTTGGAGCACTGTAGAAAGAAACAGGAGCACGTTCTGGGAACGTGGTGCAGCATTTGCAGAGTATGTCCTGATGGGTAAGGGATATGTACATCACTGGCATAGCAAGTAGAGGTGGTGGAAAGGTGAGAGGCATGCTAGAAGTATTGGCGGGATCAGCTCATGTAGGACCCTGCGTACCGTAACACGATGTTTGGATTTACTCTTTAGGTAATGGGGAAAGATTTTAAGCCGGGGTGTGGGGAAATGCTCACCTTTGCGTTTAACAAAGATGCCTCTGGAATCAGGTACAAGTTGTATTACAGAAAGATACAGTAAATAGATTTTTTGTTCCTTTTTAAAATCAGACCATATAGTAAACTAGAACCTTATCTCAGTTACCTGAATAAACACTCAAAAAAAGCATTTCTTACTCATTCTAAAAAGAAAAATCTATTGAGCACAATTTTTAAAACTTTTGGCTACATTAAATGTATTATCATCTTTTTCAATATGTATCATTTACCTTTGAAATTCCAAATTCACCTTCTGTGTCTGCTTACATGGAAGGGAGTATAAGGATGTTCTGTCTTCAGGGTTATGATTTGTGGAATTACTTGGTTGTTCCCAACAAACAAAATTGCAAACGTCTCTTCTCCTTGTGGGATGTGGTAAGACTTCATTTCTGTAATATATTCTGTGCTGTTGTTCTGACCAAACCTGATGACCCAACGATCTTTTGTTTAAGGTGAAGTGATGTATTTTAAAGTCCAGATGTACCACAAATGAAGTTCTTTAGACATTAGAAAAATGTCACAATTACATACTCACCAACTACTCACCCACCTGACTGCATTTTACACTGCCTGTTACTGTTGCTAGAAGGATTATGCTTACAGGTAGAATTCACAGAGCACCTACGTGAAATGAGTTAGTATGTACTTATGTAGGTACTAACTGTTCAATGATGCTTCTTTAAGAAGATATATCCTGTAATAAACTGAAAAGCAGGATCTTCAAGAACTTTCAGTATGAAATATTTTCCATCCACTGTTATGCTTCTAGTGATTAACTTGCCTTATTAATAGCTCTGTGAGATGTTTTTCTAATCAGTGCACACGAGCTGTCATCAAAACTAGAATTCCTAATTCTGAGCCAAAACAGTTGGAGACCAACCAAATCAGGACCTTTAATAAGGCTTATAAGGAAAAACCATCAATCATTCATTCCCTCTCCCTGGCTTTGCATACATTATTGAAAAATTTTATCAAAGTTTTTATACTAAAAAGCCTTTTATGACATTTGAATGTTATACATATTAGCATGTAGTATTATCTAATCAAAATTTGATTTGCAAGGGTGAATCAGCTAATGTATTCATAATTTTAATCCTGTTAACAACTCTGAAATTGGCTGATAATTACCTTAGGATTAGAGACTCTAATTTGTACATTGGTAATGTGTTTCCAGTCACCAGCTAATGTAATAACAATAATAAATTATACTTCTATCTTCATTGAGAGTGTGATGGACAGCTGAATTAGGATATTTCCACTGGAACTGAATATCAAACTTTTCCCCTAAATATTAAAGCCTTGTAAAGTTTCTGAACATTCAAGGCCACGTTTAGCGCTGTGCTAGTCAAGGCTTATCATGTTCCCAGTGGTTTTAATTCAGTTAAAATCTGTGCCTTAGTCTTATCAGCATCACTATCACTGTCAGCAGAGTTTCCTCAGTGCAGTGCCAAACAAAACTGCCTCATAAACCACATGAAAGCCAAAAACTTGGCCATGTAGCTTTACCTGCATTTATAGCAGGCATCCATCTAATTCACATTGTCAGAGAGGCCTCATGTAGAAAATTCCGTTGCCCCAAAATATTTCTAATGATGTGTTTTAAATCTATGCAATAAGAGTAAATTAATGATGTTAAGCCAAAGGATTTTAAACTCCTTCTTAAACTGCAGAAGGCTTTGCTTACCAAACTTTACTTAGAATCTTAAAGCATAAAGATAGATAAGCAACTGTTCCGTCTGAAGTATAATACAAATGCTATCACATAGGGTGTTTTATCACGTAAGATTTTTAAAATCACTGAAATAAGTTCATAACATTGTACATGAATTTCACACTTTATTTATGGACTATTTTTTCCTGCAAAAAATAATAGCTCATAAAAATGAAGTGAATACTGAGTGCTTCCTTTTGTGTCAGCAACTCTTCCAACTGCTTTCTGTGAATTTGTCTCCTGTAATCTAATAGTGTCAAGTACTATTTTACAGGTGGGGAAACAGAAGCTTAGAAATATTAGCTTTGTTGCCCAGGATCACAAAGCCTATAAGCAATGGAGTTGGGATTTATTTTTTCCTCTGGCCATCTGCTGCCAAAGCCCATGTGCTTACCACTCATACACTCCTACTTACTGTAGAGTTAGGATCTTTGACCAGCATCTCAGAATTCACAAGTCTGCTATGGAGAGATTCTTCTTTTCAGACATGCTTGAAGAGAATTTTGCAGAGCATTAGTTGCCTGATGACTTTCTAATAAGCCCAAGGGCCAGGGGTTTTTTTTGTTTGTTTGTTTGTTTTTTCTTATTACCTTCTTTGATACCTCCTCACGAATTGCTGAAGCAAATGCAGTTAGAGCTGGATTCTCAACCCTGGCTGTGCACCGGGATCACCTGGGAGTCTATAGAAAGTACTGCTGCCTTGGTGCCACATGTTGAGGGTCAAGGTAATTGGTCTCAGGTGTAGCCTAGATGCTGGGTTTTTGTTTTGTTTTGTTTGTTGAAAAGCTCCCTAGGTGTTTCCTGTGCAGCCAAGGTTGAGAGGGCTGCTCTGAAAGCTGAGCTGCTGTGCTCATGCATTGGCCTACATAAGGTGTGCAGCTACATAGGTGCAACTGGCAGAGTAAGGTGGGCCACAAAAATGAAATCATTCTGTTTTCGTGTAACAGGATCTCTTAGTAATCCTGAGCGTTTAATATCTTCATATCACTCCACAGAACCCAGTAATTCCCTAAGAATTCACAAATGGATTCTTGAACAACAGTCTAGGTGGTCCCGTTCATCGTATATATGTTTTATGACCCCTGGCCTTATAACATGTTTGTGATTTGAGAGGCAATACCGTCTCAAAGTCTGGAAAAGCACTGGAGCATAGAACATGGGACTGAAAATGGACAAGTTCTGTTGAAAGGAAACATTTGTTTATGTCAATTAACTGCAGTGGTAAAAGAAACCTATTCTTTACATGGAGCTCTTAATATTTCTTTAGTAACCCACACTACAGCTTTTAGCCAGAGGACATGTCATATGTAACCCCTTCCTTATGACTGTGACAGAGCAAAATGGCTAGTGTCCAGGAAGGGAGCCACAGCCCTAGCAAAATATAAATAAATAAAGACCATAATAACTTACATGCCCATCACTAAATTATTATTAGCCAAGGAGTGGCAAGTAGATGAGCTGTTTTCTGTGATTGCATGTGCATGCAATTATGTTTCTGTCTAGAGTAATTAACTATTCACTTGTTTTCTTGGAAACAAAATAGATTATATACCATCACATGATTTTCACTGCAGAAAACAAATAGCTGTTTAGTGGTACAACATTCCCCACCCCACCCTCAAAAAATCCGTAAGTTCCTCCTCCCCCAATCTAATTTTGGTGTCTCGTGACTTTTAAAAATCATGATTATTTAGTTCTAAGTTCACTATGCTGTCATATTAAGGGTATTCCTTTTTTAAATTACAGATTAGAATTTATGTTTTGGCTTCCTGCTTCCTTTTTTTTCTTTCTACATCCAGATTACATTTGTAATTATTTTCTGCATAACTTCCTATGTCCTGTAGGTAAGTTTTCTTTTTTCTGAGAATTGTGTTACAACGTGGATTAACAGAATCCTTGGAAGCATGAAGACAAATAATTGCCTACAAAAGACACGAATTGAGACAAATAATAATTGATATGCTTGAGGTCTAAGTTAATTTGTACCAGTAGCCTATAGGATTGTTTTTAGCTGGAGGGCAGAGAGCAGAATCCTCTTGGACAGCTCCCCCCCTTGGTAACCGCCAACTGTGAATGCACAGAACAATGAGTGCTGAATCAGGGCCTCACTAAAAAGTTGTCATTTTGATTTTTTCTCAATTAAAATACATCATGTGTGATATTAGAGTTACTGAAATTATTATGCCAAATGATGCATTGACCTTGTAGTAAATTTTGTGACTTCTTTAAGGCAAACCACTCAGCCGTGCACTGAAACCTGAGCTATAGAAAAAGAAGAGTAATGGCATTGCATTGACAGTCTGTTGGTTTTCTGATCCATGCTGTTGCCCCCCAGGACTCTAAGAGCCCTGGGTCTTTGTCAGATTCCTTTCAGTACCTCAATTCCTCGATAATTGAAAAATAAAATAATTGTGGTGAGCTGAGGAACTGTGGGTCAGGACTGATGTATTACATCCTTTCTTTCTCTGTGTGCCCAGATTGCCACCTGGCTTTCTCATCATTCTAGCACCCTCAGACTGCGTCTGGATCTGAAGCATCTGTCTCTGTATTATTCCACACTCTTGGTAAAAGTCACTAAGGTTCAGTTGGCCATATGAGTGGGAAATATGAGTGACTGCTTGAAGCAACACACGCTAAGGAAGGGAGAGAAAGAGAACACCTCATCTTCTCCTGTCAGTCTCTTAAAGTAACTGACTCAGACAAAAGGCAAGAGAGAGTAGCCATGGCAGTAGCTATTGCCTTGGCCTGGGCGACCCAGTGTTCATCAGCTGCAAGAGCTCAGTACAGCCTGCATGGCACAGTTTCACACAGAGCAGAAACAGCCAAGAGGGTGAGGACTGTAGGAGGACTGGGTTTTCTCAGCTATCTAAGATTTTTTTTTTTTTTTTCTGAGATGGAGTCTCAGTCTGTCACCCAGCTTGGAGTGACGTGGAGCCATCTCAACTCACTGCAACCTCTGCCTCCCAGGCTTAAGCGATCCTCTCACCTCAGCCTCCTGAGTAGCTGGGACCACAAGCATGAGCCACTATGCCTAGCTAATTGTTTTGTATTTTTGGTAGAGATGGGATTTCACCATGTTGCCCAGGCAGGTCTGGAACTCCTGATCTCAAGTGGTCCATCCACCTTGGCCTCCCAAAGTGCTGGGATTACAGGCATGAGCCACCGTGCCTGGCTAGAATTTTTTTTTTTTAATTGAGAAACTTCAACTTGACACTCGACTTGCCATGATAATAAACTGCTTAGAATTGCCGTCCCAACTATATATGTTTCAGGATGTACCTGTAAAGAAAAGCCAGTCTGATGAATATGCGATTGAATGTCTGATCAACCATGACTTGTTTTCTGGGCTAGAACTTGTTTTTTGCCAGAAAAAAAAAAAATAAGTGTAATTCAAGTGTATGGGAAAAGATACTAGTCCAATTCCTATGGCATAGTTTGAATTGTTTTGTTCCTTCTTCTATAGTTGCATTACGTTCGCCATTAGTGACCCCTGCAGAAAGGTTAATCAATCCATCAGTCAATACAAGATAAAATAGAAGTCTGGGTTTCAGGACCCAAAGCCTGACTTTTCTCTTTCTTAGATACTTCAGCTGACTTCCAGCAGCTCTTGCTCTGGCTCAAGATGAGAGGCTCACCCTCCTTGGCATTAGAGTCCAACTGTGGTGCAGTACCTCTGACTTTATCCCTTCATCCTTTACCTTCAGCGGACATTAATCTGCCTCCCTGCAGAATATTACTTAACTTCCTGGGGTAGGAAGTGAAACTCAAATGCCATAAAAAGCATGCCTTTGGTTTAGTCAGACCTAGAGCCCACAGGAATGATTTATAATGTATAGGTTTATCAATGAAACATTTTTCCACTTTAGGGAACAGACATTATTCTATTCCTGGCAATAAACTAAAATAGATGCTACAAGATAAACAGAATGATTTCACCAGTTCAGCCTTTGTGGGACCTAATACATTATAAGAAAAATTTCAAATAAATTACAAATTGGAGTTGTGTCCTGCAATTGTATAAGACGGTTGCCATTGCAAAGTGATTTCTGCTTTTAGAATGAATGTGGTTTTCCTGCAGTTCAATGTGACACTTATCTGAGCCCGACAGTGATAGCAAGACTTATGAGCCAAGCCCACTGTTGGACCTGCAGTGCCATCTACAGAATAGATTGGATAATGTGGATTCTGTTTCTCTTCTGCACTTCAGATAATGTAGCCACAAGGGAAATAAGATGTGTATGTGTTTAGAATTAGCTGTGTACATACAGTAAGGCTTTGTTGCTACATAGAAAAATGGTTGCATATTTGCAAAATGCTGTTGCTGTACTTAAGGCTCTATTACCTAGACTCCTAAGGCAAAGGAGTGTTGTGTTTCCTATTAAATTGATGAACTGGATAGCCCATTTGTTTCAAAAATTTGTTTGATAATCTGTGTAAGATGACTTTCTGGTTACCTTGAATAGATCGTATTGGAATGAATATTAGTTTCATTATTTATGTATTTATTATCTCTACTGCTCATATCTGTCTCCAACTGCCAGAACATAATCACCATGAGGGAAAGATTTTTATCTATTTTGTTCACTGATTTATTCCAAGTATTTAGAACAATGCCTGGCACAAAAGCAGGTCTTCAAATATTTGTTATTTGACTGAATAAATATAACTGTACTTTGCTAGTAAGTAGAACAAATGTGGAAAGATAGTCAGTTGAATTTTGGTTTGTATTTTTAAAATGGGCACACCTATACCTCTTCTTCCTATATTACTGTTGTACTGAAAATTACGTGAAATAATGGATGGAAAAGTGCTATAAACTATAGGTACTATAAAATTTAGGTATCTTCCCAAGAATCTTTTTTTTTCTTTTGGTAGAGCTCCAGAAATTTAGAAAATGTAAAACATCACCCCCATTTCCCCCCATAATTTCCTGAAGTACTTTTAAAATGTATATATCTGAGCGCCACATCACATAGGTTGGGGCCTGCCAGTGTTCATGTTTATTAAGAATCTCAGATGATCCTGAAGCATGCTATTATAATATTTGAGAACTTATATCATTAAAAAGGGGTTGAAATTGAATTGAATTCAAAATGGAAGTTACACCTTTAATATTATCCTCACCCATTATTCCTGATAGGAAGTTATTTCTGACTGGATATATTTCTTTGTCTTAAGGGAAATACATAATATTTTAATTGCTGTATATTATTTAGCTTATGGTATAGAGTATTACCTGACTTAAAAAAATAGAATAAAAGGATCTAGACGTATGTAGTAAATTAAGATCATTTTAGTATATCAAATTTATTTTAGAGAATTTTGCATATATTTCCCAAGGTAGGGTACAAATACTATATGAAGCAATATAAAAAGGAAGCAAAAGAAAACCAGCCTAAGTTTGTATAAGACAGACTTTAATTTTATTTAAGAAATTCCACTTGTTAATTTTGGTGCTAAAATGCTGTAGAGGATATTAATGTGCTTTGACATATTATAAAAATAGCTTTTTTTGCACGGAGGTTATTTCTCTATTGTCTTTCTTAAGGCTTTTCTGAGAAATAAATGGGGAAACACCGTATCTTTCCCCAGATTTGCTAATTAACCATGTAAGAATTAAAACATTCTTTGTGTTATAATAGTTCTATAGATAGATATATGCTTTCATAGCACAAAAGTATCTCTTAGGCAAGTTAAATGCATTTTTACTTATTTTATATTTGGTTTTGTCTTGAGAACAGTGTCTGTAGGCTGAGTCATCATCTATAGCATTTGCTTCACAATATGAATGAATGGAATATATATTTACTCTAAAACAAAGAGGAATATTTTGGATAGTGGATAAAGGTGAAATTTAGAGTCAGATAAGCCTTAGATGCAAATTCTGACCCTACCACTGGGCGTCTTCCTCTAACTCACCTTCTAAGTATATTCATTATATTCATATATTCACACACACACACACACACACACACACACACACACACACAGACATTTATTTAAGTGGTGTCCATGTACCAGGTACCACTGTGCTAACGTGCCTGTGATAAATCAAATTCAAGAATTCAAGGGCTCCTATGACATTCTGGGAGGGAAGTGATAATATACCAAGTATAACAAAAGTGTAACTATCAAGATAGACAGTATGATAAGTGCTATAGAGTAAATTAGCAAATTCAAAACACATAGAATAATGGAGGAAGGTCCCATTAATAATGTTTCTGTGAAAGATCCCTTTGAAGAGGTAAGATCTACAGAATGAGAAAGAACCCACCGCAAGAAGAGCTGAGGAAAGGGAATCTGGGCAGAGGGGGAACAAATGTAAAATGCAAAGGCCTTGGCGCTTCTGAAGACCAGTAAAGAGACCTAGGACAGGGAATAGTGGCTGAATTTGGTGTGGATATGAGAGAAAAAGGTAGGCAGGAGGGAAAACTGGTAGGCCATCGCAGGAGGTGTGTGTTTTATTCGAAGAGCATTAGGGAATCATCTAAGGGTTTTAACCAGGGAGTGACGCCAGAGTAAACTATCCAAAACATCTTGTTACTCTCCTCCCTAAATAGCTGATGGATGCTCATTGCCTACCCAGAAGACGAAGCTCAAGCCCATTTACTAGGTCATCAAGTCCTTTAGGACATGGTCTGTTGTTAAATACTCATTCCTCACTATTTTGTGCCTTGCCCTTTTCAGTCCAGCAACAGCAAACTGCCTTCAGACTCCAGCACCTCCCAAATTGTTCCCACCTTCCTGCTGATATTTCTGCTCCTCTACCTGCCAATATGCTCTCGCTAAGGCCAGCTCCTCGCTTTTTCAAAGAGCCTTTCTCCCTTGTACTCCTACCCCGACCATTACAATCCAGAACTCACAGTACCACATGTATATTTAATGTCCTCATCTGTTTATGAGTTTCCCTGGGGACATGCGGAGAAAACTGCCAAGGAGTGAAGATGCTTTCAGTAAATGTTGCATGAAGATTTTGGGTAAACGTAGCTGTGCGGATTAATAAGTTTGATCAAATGCCAAGGTAGCATAGTGGCACAGTCTTGAGTAGACAGTAGGTGCTAACTAGATCATCATTCACATTCATTCTCATTCCTTTCCCCTTGTCTGTCTGGCAAGCTTTTATTCCTCTTATCATGTGCAAGTACTTTACAATGGACACTCTGCCACTAGGCCTTGCAAAAAGGGGTCAAATCCTGGATCTGTCTCTAGAGGGCTTAGAGTCTAGCAGAGGAGCGGGAGCAGATTCATAAAAGAACAAGCAGATATACAAATGCACAGGACGAAGTGATAAATGAGATTATGAACAGGAAGAGCTAAAGTCTTAGCCTTAAATGAAAGTCTCACCTCATTTGTTTCTTAGAAAAGAAGGCTGGAGAAAAATTTTGCATTATTAAGCCTTCATTACTTTTCCAAAATATCCTGCGGCATGCTTACTAATGTATTATGAAATTCTTATGAATAAATAACTCTAATGTCGCATCTCAAAATATGTGAACAAGGGGTATTTTTTCAAGTTCTTTTCTGCATATTTCATTTTGCATGTTACCTCTAAGAAATGCTGTATAAACAGTTGGATATATTTATAGAATTGATGTACCATAAATCCCATTACTCCTTTAGATAATCATGCATAACTGCTGATGAGTGTATTAACCCATTTTTACTATATAAAATATCTTTAAATGGCTTCTAGTTTTATAACATACCCATGGTCAAAGCATTTTAAAGTCTGTAAAGATAATGTTCATAAAAACTAATTTGAGGCTGGGTGCGGTGGCTCATGCCTGTAATCCCAGCACTTTGGAAAGCCAAGACGGGCGGATCATGAGGTCAGGAGATCAAGACCATCTTGGCTAACACGGTGAAACCCCATCTCTACTAAAAATACAAAAAAATTAGCCGAGCATGGTGGCGGGCGCCTGTAGTCCCAGCTACTCAGGAGACTGAGGCAGGAGAGTGGCGTGAACCTGGGAGGTGGAGCTTGCAGTGAGCCGAGATCGCACCACCTCACTCCAGTCTGGGCGACAGAGCGAAGACTGTCTCAAAAAAAAAAAAAAAAAAAAAAAAAAAAAAAAAAAAAAACTAAAATACACAACAGTAAATTGATTCAAGTTAGATCTTACACATAGGCATTTGAGCTCCATTTTAATTGGCTTTAACATTACTTGTTCATTATTTAGTTTTGCAACAGTCTAAAAACATCCAATTGCTGAACATTGAAGGCATGAGAGATCATCTTTCCCTGTCAAATAAAATTGCAAGTTCTAAGAAACATCAATATAAATATTACTCATCCCTGTAAGCCTAGCAAGCACAGTGCTCATGCATCCTGTTTGATCTGAAGAGCATCATAGTCACTTGGAAGACATAAGATCTACATAGATGAAGAAGACAGTATGTAGCAAAATACAGTTATGTATGTATTTCAGAAAATAGGTAGCAAGAAGTATAAGTATAGGAGAAATCACGGTCATGCTCTGGGAAGGCCTTTGAGTTGAGCCTTAGCAATTGTCTAAGATAAATAGGCGAAAAAGTGAAAGAGGCAAGTGAGAGAGATGGAAAACGAACATTCCAGGCAGGAGGGAGAATATAGATCTACATGCGGAAGCAGGAATGAGCATCCTGGCAACTGAGCAACCCACCTTCTCCTTCCACTTAAAATATCCTGGAACCTAATTATCATATTATTACAGGCTAAAGATAGGCCTGTCATACACCCCAGTGAAGGCAATTTTTATGCTGCTTCATATATAACAGGACTGAGGAGTACAGAGGTTTCAGCACCCGTTGTAGGGAAAGAACAGATCTGAGTGTGGGCTGAGAAAGGGGAGGAGATAGTGAACCGAAAATAGTACTTTGTCTCGACCAAAGTTTTCAAGTTCCTTGAGGGTATTTTCAACTAAGATGCAAACAGCAACTGATTCTTTTACCATAAAAACAAAAGAAATTATGTTAAATCCATCTGAGGTAACTCGACAGTTAATTTTTTTTTTGCTCCCCTTTTCTCCCTCCCATGCCATCCTTCAATTTAATGTGTTAAGATTTTAAAATGGCAAGCATGAAGTGTAACAAAACATGAAGTTTCTTACAAAGTTTTTTAGCTATATTTATACATCCAATAGCAAGGCCAGCCTATGTGACATAGGCATCATTTAACTAGAGAAATTCTTATTTTCCTAGGTCTTTGTACCTTATTACAGTGAATTAATACAATTTAAGTCTTGCTAGAATTGTATCCTTTAACAACAAAATAATGTTGCTATCACCTAGGTGTTATATTATTTAAATATATCTTTTCAAAATAAATTGTGTTATACATAAATATTCAGGTAAAGGTTTACCATTTTAGCTGGATGTGGTGGCTCATGCCTATAATCCCAACACTTTGTGAGGCCAGGAGTTCAAGACCAACCTGGGCAACATAGCAAGACCCCATCTGTTTTAAAAAATGTAGCTGAATGTGGTGATGTGTGCCTGTAGTCCTAGCTACTCGAGAGACTGAGGTGCCGGTGTAGCTTGAGCCCACGAGTTTGAGGATACAATGAGCTATGATTGCACCACTGCACGTCAGAATGAGACCCTGTCTCTAGAAAATAAAAAATGATAAAAGAAAGCTTTGACTTATTTGAGCACGTGAGAAAGGGGAAGAGGAAGAAACCTTTATTAAATGCAGATTTAAATGCCTTGTGCAGTCTTAGGCATTATTTACTCATCATAAAAACCCTATAAAATAGCTATTAGCATTTTCAAATTAGAGATTGGAAAACAAACGTTTAGACGGTTCAAGTCCTTTAAACTAGGCCGTATAGAGTAGAAAGTATATAAGCATGTGAATGATACAACAAGAAGTAAACAGAAACCAATTCAGTATATGTCTGGCCAATGAGGTATGATTCTGAGTCCACACACACATACACACACACATGCACACATGTGTGCACGATTATGAAAAGAGGCAGGAGACATTTCGGAATACAGGAAAAAAGGAAGGTCATTTAGTTTCCTGTCAGTGACCATCTTTAGAGCTTTAGTATTTGTGATGACACCCAAAAGGTGTCATGGATAAAGTGAACATGTAGAAATGTCAAAGCTAAGTGTAATTTTGAAAAGAACCTGATGTAAAAACTGCCGAGATAAAGCCCGGTTGAAAAAAAAAAAAGAAAGAAAAAACAGCAATAGGAAGATGATGATTGGGGAGATACATGAGCAAGAGCAGAGTGGAAGATGAATGGAAATATAAGGCAGCTTTGCATAATTATGCACTTCATGTGGTTATATACATAAAAAGAGACCATGCTTAAAACCACAGTCCCAGGAATGAGCACCCCAAAGGATTTGTGCCTTTTCTAGTCTGAAGAAATTTGGCATATGATGGCCCATATATTCTGGTTGCCATGCGCTATTCTACCCTCCTTTACCCCTCTATAGGCATGTGATATGCGGGGGAGAGAACATGTATTACTCATTAAATGAAACATGAACGGGCGAGACATATATCTTTGATAGTGTTAGAGAATTTGTAGGCAATTATATTATAATCACTCTCAATGTTTCTGTGTTTCTGATTTTGGACTGTTCATGGGTGGTAGCTACTGCAGGCTGTCATTAAATGGATGCAAATGGTAATTGTAACTGATGAATGATTGATGATGGCTTTATTCTGTACTCCTGGAAACAGCCTCTGGCCTACCAGAAAAGTAACCTCTAACCAGAGAGCAATTAATGTAAACTATAGGCTCTAGCTTGTTTTCTCGGGGTGGCTGGGTAGGGTTGGGGGATATGGCATGTCTTTGGAACATTGAGGCTGTCTTTTCTGGCCTGTGCCTTTCCCCAAGTCTTTTTACTTTCTGTCTCAGAGAATTGCTAGTTAGAGTGAGAGGGCTAGGAAAAGAATCTAGGATTTCAGCATGGTAATTCAGTCAAATATGGCTGGTTTCTCAAATAAAAGTACCTGAACTGGAAAGCTAGGCAGCCTAGGGGTGGATAGGGAGCCTACACCTCTGGGTTGAAGAATCATTTGACCTACATTACAAAAAAACAAATACTTCAGTAGTACTGCATTTCCTAAAGTTTTACAACTGCTTATATAGATTATCTAATGCTCTTTAGATAACGTGATGTCTCAGCATCCTTCTAAAGTTGTGTGTGTGTCGGGGGAAGGGCAGACATATCTTGGTCACGTTTATTGACTACATTTGACTTCCTGAAGAACAGACATGAACAACATATATATGGGGGTGGTAATTTTCTTCTCTGCATCCAGAAAACTTAGTCCTATCTAGTTGGCCCATCTTTTTGAACTTTAGTCATACCTTGTAGATTCCAGTTGAAGTGAGGTTGTTAAGACAAACATAAACATGATGAAAAATTACTTAGAATTTAAGAATGCCAAGAAATTGATGTATTAAATGAGGTTACTGGAGATCTATTTATGAAATGGGAGCGTTCCCTGACCCCCTCACAGGACTTGTGACAGGGGCGTGGCTCATTTGCTTGGCCCGCACCCCCTTACAGGACATGGGGCATGCAGATGGGCCGGTGCAGGAGCTGGGCCAAGTGCTTCTGGGCTCTGGCCCCACAGTAGCATCTGGAGGTGTGTTACAATTAGTGCTCTTTTAGCAGTTGCTATCCATGGATGGCTAAGTGTTAAACCAGCTCAGTGGAGAGTTAGGGTGACATCCTTTTACACCCTGCCCTCTTGGTACCCGGGTCCTTGTCTGGCATCCAGGAAGAATCAGGTCATATGGACTTGAAGGATAGTGAACGTGGGGATTTTACTGAGTGATGGAGGTGGCTCTCAGCAGAATGGATGGGGAGCTGGAAAGGGGATGGAGTGGGAAGATGATCTTCCCCTGGAGCTTGGCCATCCCACAGCCAATCTCCTCTCTGACTGTCCCCAGCCAAACACCTCCTGATGTTCAAATGCTCCTTCTCTTTTCTCCTTCTCTGCTGTACCTTTCTGCTGCTGTTCTGTTCCTCTGCTTGTGGAGCTTAGGGTTTATATGAGCACAGGATAGGGGTGTGGCAGGCCAGAGTGGTCTTGGAAAAGGCAACATTTGAGCATGAAAACAGGAATGCCTATTCCCACTTAGGGCCACCAGGTTTCCAGGCTTGAGGTGGGGGCCTTTGCCGGGGAAGCACCCTCTTCTACCCAGAATTTCCTTGCCTCCTGTCCATATCACTATTTACTGTGTTATCTGCTAGTTCATAGTGATAACCCTAGACTAGAGAAGGAGAGAAATAGGAGTTTGGAGGGGCAGCCGTGAGAGAGCAGAAATCGGCCTGGAATCAGAGGCTCTCAGTTCTAGTCACATCTGCTTCATAGTTGAGTTATATGGCCTTGAAGAAACCTATATTTCCTGATTTACTAATATGAGAGTCTTTTCCCCTGCACTCCCGTGGCCTCCTTTGTTCCACAAAGAGATTGGCAGAATTTGCATTAAGTCAATTGAAATAGAATACCAAAATGGAGAAAGAAGTCAAAACCATGGTGAAAAATCCGACCACAAATATGTAGGACAAAAATCAAATAATCTTTATGATGCAGGGTTGTTGCTAAGTTCAAAAAAGATAATATATTGAAAGAAGTTTATACTTTAAAGGTATTGACTGGGTGGTATTTCAGATAGATACAGATTCAGCAACAAAATCTTGGAGCTGAATAAGACTCTTACTATTTACAAGGTTTGGTTCGGTTTATATTGTTTCATAAATAAAAGTATTAACTAATGCCTTCTTGTCAAAATAGGATTTTGATTTTAGTAAAAATTCAAATATTCATTAATAGACAAGGAGGAAATGGACTATATGTGCCCAAAGGGTCATAGAAAGAAGACAGAATTAAAAATAAGATTTTAAACAATATATGTCTTAAATTCTTCATGTCTCATAAAAGCCTCATAATTTGCTTCATATTGGATCTGATTCTATCCCTCAAACTATGGAGTCTAAATCTGATCTTTCTAGCACACGCCACATGTTTGAAGTCAATTAACGTGCCTTGGTTGTGAACATGTATTTAAGGTAAATATCCCTAATTTCTTTAATGACTCTTCATATAATATTTTCTCCAGATACCTTCAACACACTCTCCTGTGGACATGTGGCAGTAGTCAAAGTCTCTCTTAAAATGTGTTGCCAAGAACTGATAATGGTGCTCTAAAACTGGATTGATGAGTACATAGATCAATAGGTTGTTACTATCCTTTTTTGAACCTTACGGTTATTCTTCCATATCACTTAAGAATAGCTTTTTTAATAGTCACATCACACCACTATCAACTCATACTGAGCTTACAGTCAACTAAAACTCTTGTGTTTCTTTCATATGAGATACTGTAGGTCAGGCCTCTGAGATACTGTAAGTCAGACACCCTAACCTTGTGTTACTATTTTAAATGTAATTGCAAGACCTTATTACTGTCCCTATTTCATTTTATCTTGATAGTTTCCTAGAGCCAGGGAAATTTTTTTTAAGTTTGTTTTGACGTGATTTTTATGTTAGCTGGCACATGCTCATTAAAGAAAATTTAGAATGTTAAAAAATTAAATATGATGTATCTTCAAAATTAAAATTTAATATCAGTAATTATATCATTCAAATATAACTAATAACAGCAGTTTTTATATATTCTCATTCTTCCTATGTGTATAGTTATGCTATATATACAGCTTTTAATGCTGTTTTAAAACAGACTTAGAAGCATATCATATGCTGCTATATAGTCCTCATGGTTATATATTTATTACCTACACAATATTCAATGCAATGTAAATTTGTGTTTGTTTCCTTTGAACAGTGAGCGTGCTTTTACTATTATAAATAACGCTGTAATAGACATCATCATGCAAGAAGTTTTATCTGTGTTTAAGATTTGTCCTCTTAGGATAAATGCTCAGAAAAGAAATTACTGAGCCAAAGAAAATGAATTCTAAAAATGTCATTTCTACCACTTAATTAGTAGTAAGTGTGGAGACAGACAATGCATAGACAATATGCTTAGCCTCTAAAACACTCTTTACTTCTATTTTCATTACACATGTAATTACTTCTTCAATATGCGCCTTCATTGAGAGCGTATCCATTAGGATTCAGTCCAATTGAAAGAACAAAGGCCCAGGATCACAATGGTTTAAACACAGGAAGGGTTTCTTTCTCCTGTGAAAGCCCATTCAGGTCAGTCTAGGGATGATCTCGTGGTTCCACTTCACACAGCTGTCAGGGACATGCTTCTTCTGCCTTGCTGCTCCAGCGTTCCTGGAGCATTCCTGGGTGGGACCTTCATGCTCATGGTCAGAGATGGAAGCTAGAGTTCCATCCCATCAACATTCCAGGGGGCAGTGTAGATATAA
This sequence comes from Homo sapiens, assembly GCF_000001405.40. Taxonomy (NCBI): domain Eukaryota; kingdom Metazoa; phylum Chordata; class Mammalia; order Primates; family Hominidae; genus Homo; species Homo sapiens. The sequence goes on along the minus strand of NC_000007.14, from coordinate 144,503,323 downwards.
AGAAGCAAAAGCTTCAGCTGTCTCTTTAAGGAAAATTCCTTTAATTGCTACACAAATTCTGCATATATCTTTTTAGCCGAAACTTTCTCGGATTTACCTAGCTTCAAAGGAGGCTGAGAAGTATTATCTCTATTCTCAGGAACTATATATCTGGCTAAAAATCAGTGGTTCTCTTCTTCTGGATGAAGAGAAAAATGGATATTGGGGGATTACAAGCCGTTTTTGCCATGGAGAATAGATGGTGTTTCTTTCTGTTTTTAACCTCAAAACCTCAGGACCTAAAGACCTAGGTCAAAAACACAAAATGTGTAAGATTTCTGAATATTTTTTGAATTGAATTTGCAGTTCTTTTAGGTGCATTTTCCCACCAGTCACAACTTTCATTATGCCACTTGAGCCATTTATTTCTAAATCCATCCTGTAACTTAAATTCTGATGGAATTCAGAGAAGATACAACTCAGCACCAGACAACTGTTTTTAGCCAGTATTGCTGCAGCCCAAATCTATAAACTGTGGGGTTTGTATTCTGTTCCATATGAGATCTACCACCACAGAGGAAGTTTGTTTAGAAAGCATTGTGAATTAAAAATGTATACAGAGTTATTGTGTATATGTGTATGTAGCACAAAAGTAGAAAAGTGATGTTCTCCAAACCATGGAAGCTAGGGAGAGCCCCACTGAATTGAATTAGAGTCATCATTTTCAGTAGGTTTTATACAAACAAAAGATAAATAAGAAATTGGGAGGCCAGGTGTGGTGACTCACTCCTGCAATCCCAGCACTTTGGGAGGCCAAGGTGGGAGGATTGCTTGAGTTCAGGAGTTCGAGACCAGCCTGGGCAACATAGCAAGATCCCATCTCTAAAAAAAATTACAAAATCAAAAAACTAACTGGGTGTTGTGGCACGTGCCTGTAGTCCCAGCTACTCAGGAGACTGAGGTAGGGGGATCCCTTGAGCCTGAGAGGTTGAGGCTGTAGTGAGCTGTGATTGCACCACTGCACTTACCCTGAGTGGCAGAGCAAGACCTTGTCTCAAGAAAGAAGAAGAAAAAGAAACAATTGGGCCATTTGACTTAAAGAGCCTAAGAATCTAAGTGGGTATTTAAAATTACCCGTCCATTATTCAAAGGCATGAATGTTTGTCAGATGTGTGTTCACACTTTTTAAAAAGATTATTTGCTTTCTACCCCCTTTAAATTTAAATACGAAGAAAAGACCAGGGGCAGATTTCTCATCCCTGGAATAAAAATGTCAGTTTTGTCAGAATGTGAAAACTTTGACAAATGAGACTGTAGCTTGCTCAGCGGTTTCAACACATGTACAAGGGTGCTTGGTACCAGAGTGCTCCTCACCTGTTCAGTCATCTGCAGTGAGTGACCTGACACAAAGTTTGTAAATTTAACTTGGGAAGAGTGATAAAGAATACAGAAACCTGAAGTATATAAATGAATTGGAAACCAAATTATATTTTTTGACACTTACAAAGAAAAGATACTCATTTGCCTGGATTTGAATGTATTTAGTTTCTGTCAAATATATATGTATATCATACTAGAGAACCATATTGCTCAATTTCTTTCCAATTTTTCTTTCAAAGCTGTAAGAGCAAAATTCACAACCCTAATAAGGTTTTAGAAATAAAGAACATTTTCTATCTTCCACCTGTTACTGTTACAACCATTTAAGAAGTGGAGTGGAAAAAAAAAAGAAAAAAGAAAAAAAAATAAAAAATAAATAAAAATAAATAAAAAGTGGAGTGAATAATAAATCTAAACATTTCTATATTTTGCTATTTGCTACATTTCTATTTCCCCCAACTACCATCCTTTTCATTTATTTTTGTTTTTAACTTCAGCTTATTATCATGATTACTTCATACCAGAGTATACAAAGCTTGACTGATACGATTTCAGAAAACAATGTCATTAGTTTGATATATTGTGAAAAAAAATACCTTATAGTATTGAAAACTATACTGACTAATACTCAAAGAACATGACCTTTCAAAATTAGTTTTCCTCTTTACCAAAAGAAGGAGAGAGGAGAAGAGGTATTCCTTTCCCTAAGCCATAGGCGCTCTTGAGATTTTTTGAATTTTTTCAAATACCAGACACCATGCATTTTCATACTTAGAGTACCTGTTCTGGTAATCTGATAAGCATTCATTCAGCGTAGCTTCCTATCAGTCGAGTGTTTGGTTTTTATCTAGCTGTGATTGTTTTTTTTTTCCATTTGTATCCAGAAATACAACACTTAGTAGATTATCTTCTAAGCATACATGGCTGTTTTAAAAAATATAATCCTTTTTTCTACAAAACAAACCTATCCACATTTCTCCACCACATCTCACGTTTTTCGGGGTTCTCAAGGCAAAACTCTTTTTACTGTGGGTAGAACAGATAGACCAACTGACCCTTGGAGTTGCTTTTTAAATGTTTTTTAAGTTTCTACTTGAGCCTAGCATAGGAAGAAAAATGCAGTGACTGCAGCCTTATTCTTTCAAAAGTTGTTGTAAAGAATTCAGAAATATGTCTATCAAAGGATATTTGGGAAGACTAACTTTTAAAGTAAGTGAAGCATAACTTACAAGGATGCAGAGATAACAAGAGGCTTAAGTGAAATGAGGAAAGAGAGAACGTCTTACATTGGATGCGGTTCTTTCTCAGGCCTGTGAATTGTCTGTATTTCTTTGAATTTTAAACTTGTTTGAATTATTCCTTTATTGCTGTTCTCAGCCATTACATTGATCTCGGAGAAGCAAGCAGGGCAGTTAAACTCTCGTTCCAAAGTAGAACTGCCTGTGGATTGATTGGTAGTAAAGGCAAGGTGACTGAAAAGGGACTGTGCTTTCTTTCTTATTGACTAGAAGTGTGTCTGTCCGATTAGTCTGTGCCAAGTACAGAAATAGCAGGTGCACATTGTTGAAGGATGTAGCAACTGAGGTTTTGTGCTTCCAGGGAGGCCAGGAAAATTCCTGCCCCAAATTTATCACCACTGGATTGTCGATTATTTTTCAGCTCTATTGCTGATGATTCACTCTTTTTGACATTTCAAGTCAGCTAACAAATATATTTTAAATCCAATCTTTATGCGTGGCCCTGGGAATTTTAAAGGATTCAAAAATTAATAAATATGGAGCTCTCCAGGAAGTTTGAATCTAGATGATGGACAGACACTTTCGTGTATAAGAATGTATGTTGTGTGATTTCTTCAAACCAAACATAAGAACAGGTTCTTATTAGAATTAGAAGATTCTAATTTAGAAGAATTAGAATAAGAATTAGAAACGTTCTAACTTAGATTTAGAAAGGTTAAATATACTAGAAGTACTAACAAGAACAAAGCTGCTGTTGATTTTTATTGTACAAAGCTAGATTCAAGATAAACTATGTCAACAGAGCTATAAATAAGAAATTTGTAGTAAATATTAAAGGTCATAATGAGGGTATAAGTATGTATACCCAAATTCTATTGCACAAAAACCCATATAGCATAAATTAAAGGAAGGTTAAAAAAAGAAACTGACAAACACAATGGTGATTATAGGCTTTAATTAACCTCTGTCAACCCCCCGCCCAAGACAGATTAAGAAAGTAAGTAACCTTGGCTGAGCATGGTAGCTCACACCTGTAATCCCAGCACTTTGGGAGGCCGAAGCAGGCAGATTACGAGGTCAGGAGATCGAGACCATCCTGGCTAACATGGTGAAACCCCATCTCTACTAAAAATACAAAAAAATTAGCCAGGCGTGTTCGGGAGGCTGAGGCAGGAGAATGGCATTAATCCGGGAGGCAGAGGTTGCAGTGAGCCGTGATAGTGCCACTGCACTCCAGCCTGGGTGACAGAGCAAGACTCCGTCTCAAAAAAAAAAAAAAAAAAAAAGTAAGTAACCAAAAGATGTGAAAGGAAGAAAAGTAAGTAAACAAAAAGATATGAAAGATGTGAATTATTAGTAAGGATTACATAATATGGATAAATATATATATACATATATATGTTTATACATATATGTATATGTGAAATATACATAAATACAACATATATATGCATATGATTAAAACCTGTATAACAGAAACCATTTTTAAACTTGCTTAGAAATTTACAAAATGGACTACTAAGTGACAAAAACATTGTTTTAGCCCTGAAATATAAATACATTCTACAGTCTGACCCAATGCAATAAAATACAAAATATAATCATTAACAAATTCATAACTAACATATCCTCAAAATTAAAAAATGTACCTTTAAGCAACTTTTAAATCAAAAGGCATATTTGCACATTTTAAGAATTGAAAAATAATCCCCGCACACCTCCGGATACAGTATATGTAGCTTTTAATACTTATATTTTTAAAAGAAAAAGGATCAGTTTTTAAGTCAAGAAGGCATAAATGGAATAATACAGTGAATATAAGGAAGTCAAATGAAAGACACAAAGATGATCAAAGGAGAAATTGTAAATCACAAAATTGTTAAGCAGTCAAAAAACATTTGTTAAAAAGAGACACTACTGGACAGTGAGCCATCAAGAAACAAAAAAAAGGAGAAATCACAAGCAAGTAAAATTAGAAATGAAAAAGAGCGAACATTTACATTACAGATTAAGCGAATGATAATTTGCAAGTGTCTAACAAATGCACTTCAATCTCTAAGTATTTCAGCAGGAATACTGCACTACGGAGTAGACTCAGACTTATGGGTTTGATTCAGAGTAACTTAATGAGAGCAGAATTAGGAAAAGATCTACGACTTTGCTGAGATTCCAAAATATTACAAAAAGGAATATAAAATACTATATTCATAAGTAGCTGATTCAATTAAAATATTTTTCTACCCTTCCCTCTTGAAATGGCTGTGTCATTTTTAAGAAGAAAGTTGCTTATTGAGAAACACTTTTTCATTAGGAAAATGAATTCAAAAATCATATAAAATTGCATATGTTGTGATTAAACTGTGTAAAATAATCACTTATGTGCATAAAGGCAGAAAGTGGGAAAACATAATAAGATGAGAGGCGATTTTTAAATTTTCCAGCCTTTCCAGAATACTGTTTATGTAATAATAAAAATGCAGAACAGGCCAGGCACGATGGATCGTGCCTGTAATCCCTGCACTTTGGGAGGCTGAGGCGGGTGGATCACCTGAGGTCAGATCGAGACCAGCCTGACCAACGTGGTGAAATCCCGTCTCTACTACAAATACAAAAATTAGCCGGCCATGGTGGTGCATACCTGTAATCCCAGCTACTCAGGAGGCTGAGGCAGGAGAATCACTTGAACCCGGGAGGTGGAGGTTGCAGTGAGCCGAGATGGCACCACTGCACTCCAGCCTGGGCAATGACAGAGTGACACTGCATCTCAAAAAAATAAAAAAAGGCAGAAAAAAAATAAGGTGTCTTCTGCATATGAACCTAAGCTGTTCTATAGTTGTTCTCCTGGTAAAGGGACAAGTACAGTCTACCTATCATTATCAAATTGTAAATGTCAAATTGTATCCAATTATTTCTTCATTAAGCCACCTAAAATGAACCATTCTCTCAGCTGAATGTATTCTTTTTGGTTGTTATTCTTTAAATACCAAGCATTACGACAGTTCTTAGAGAAATCTTCAGTACAAACTCAGTTTGTACATTCTATGGGAAGTCAAACACCTTTCTTAGTAAATTAACAGACTCTACCTAGTGAAGTACTTCCAGCATCATTTATTGAATTCACTTAAGTAAAAGGGACCAAGAGAGCACATTAGCTACTCTACTAGAGATGACAAATCTTAGAAATGATTCTGACTTTGGACCTTCAAGGGGATTACTTGGGGTGGCTGTCAGACTGTTGAGTCACTCAGACACAGAGAGACTTCCTACCATGTTCCTAAGACTGTCTCAGCCATTGCATAAATACAATGATTTATTTTGGAGCTAGTAACTGAATTGCTAATTTTAAAATGTCTTAGGAATTTGTTGAAGTTTGCAGCGGTACTATGTATCAAAAGATGCTATGGAAAATCTCCATTGCTGCCTGTACTGTGTTTTTGTGAGCTAAACTTATCTATTTTATGATAGAAAAGGAGGAAGTATTGTCTTAAGTTTTGCCTCTGTTTAGTGTCACTAAAACTTTTGATCTTAATGCTTAGATGATTTTGGAGAGAGTTCTTCCAGAATTTTTTGCAAGTCATTAAAAATTATATATCATGTCAAGAATTAGATGAATTGATGACAACTAGGGTGAAATATGACCTACTTTATGTATATATAAATATTTCAAACACTGTATTCATGTGGAAAAGCATAGATTATTTTGTTTCTTTAAAATTATTTTTACTTAGGAGGGGAGTCAACAGCTTAAGGTAATACTGCTTTAACTTTAGTAATTACCACAAAGTCTCTAGATTACAATAAAATATTATACAGCACATTGCCTAAAGAAACACATACTATTCTATTACTTTCTCACTCCCTTTAAATAAAATCTTCAGAAATTCTACTGAGGATCCCAAGCCACTTATAGAACCATGTCTTTGATAAAGAGCTGCTTGAAAACTAAATACATTTTAAAATAAAAATTTATCAATTTGTATAAAAATTACATTGTTGAGGTAATGAAACAGTACAGACACATAAAACATACAAAATGGAGGTCCTATCACAATCTAACCACATAGGTTACCACTTCTAACATTTGACATTTTTCTTCCTAGAACTTTTCCTATGTCTATATATGTATATTTTTAACCAAAAAGTAATAATGAACATAATCTTCCACACTTGCTTTTTCCACTTAAGAACATATTTTCTGTCTTTTAAATATACAGTCTTATCTTACAAATGAGATCTAACTAATTCATTTAATATGTGCATAGAATTATGTTGTATAGAGCTACGGTGACTTATTTAACTAGTTCCAATATGATTTCTATATGGATTATCTAGGTTTTTTATTACAGTGTTGCAATCAAAATCCTTGCACTTGTACTTGTATTTAATATAAATAGTCAAGAGGACCCAATGTCCAGATGTAGGACAGCTGGATCATGGGGTGGAGGTGAAGATATATATATATCCTCAAACTTAGTTTTTTTGGTCAATCTAGTGTAGAAAATTTCCTTGCAATTTAATTGTTAATATAATTACTTAATTGTTATAGGCTTTGTAAATTTGTGTTTTTCAATTGACCACTCTTTGTCTTTGCTCATTTTTCAGTAGGCTCATTCATCTTCCCATTTATTGAACAAATTCTTTTCTATCATTTATTGAACTGTATGTATTGTAAATGAATTTGTACTTTGTCTTCTGACATGGTAAACACGTGCTTATTTATTTTACCTTCTAGAAACTTTGAATTCTTTTGATAATTTCTTGAAATGCCAAGTTTAGAAAAATAATATAGTTCTCATTTATATTTCTATCATTCAGAGTTAGCAATTTCTTGTTTTTGTTTCTAGTCCTTTTATTTAACTTAAATAAATGAAACATGTAATACATTGATACCAAAGCCAGATAAGGACACTTCAAGAAAAGAAAACTACAGGCCAATATCACCAATGAGCATAGATACAAAAATCCTCCATGAAAAAACATAGCAAACTGATTTCACCAGCACATTAAAAGGATTATTCACCATGATCAAGTGGGATCTATCCCTGGGATGCAAAGATAATTCAAGCTAAGTAAATCAGTAATTATGATATGCCACATTAACAGAATGAAGGACAAAAACCATGTAATCCTGTCAATAGATGCAGAAAAGGTATTTCACAAAATTTGACATCCTTTCATTATAAAAACTCTCAACAAATTAGGTATAGAAAGTATGTACCTCAACACAATAAAGGCCATATATGAAAAACCCACAACTAACATCATACTCAGTGGTGAAAAGCTAAAAGCTTCCTCTAAGATCAGGAACAATACAAGGTTGCCCACTCTTAACACTTCTGTTCAGCATAGTACTGGAAGTCCTAGCCAGTGTAGTTAGGCAAGAGAATGAAATAAATGACATCCAAATCAGAAGAGAAGAAATTAAATTGTCTCTGAAATTAAATTGATCTCATTATAAGACCATGTCATCTGTATAGACAATTTAATGTTTTATGTTTTTTATAAATAGAAAACATAAAAACTCCTCCAAAAAACTGTTAAAATAAATGAATTCAGTAAAGTTGCAGGATACAAAATCAACATATGAAAATCAGTAGCATTTCTGCACCCTAATAACAAAGTGTTTGAAAAAGAAATCAAGGAAACAATCCCATTTACAATAGCTACAAAAAAATAATAAAATATTTAGGAACAAATTTAACCAAGGAGGAAAGATCTATACACTGAAAAATATAAGACACTGATTAAAGAAATTGGATACAACACAAATAAATGGAAAGATATTCATGTTAACGTATTGGAAGAATTAATATTGCTAAAAGGTCCATCCCACCCAAAGCAATCTACAGAAACAATGCAGTCCCTATCGAAATGCAATGACTTTTTTTTCCCACAGAAATAGAAAAAACATTCCTAAAATTCATATGGAACCACAAAAGACCCTGAATAACCAAAATAATGTTGAGCAAAAAGAACAAAGCTAGAGGCATCACAATTACTGATTTGAAAACATTTACTACAAAGCTCTAGTAATTTAAACGGCACAGTACAGGCATAAAAACAGTATTGCATTTTCATCTTGCTAATATTTGCATATTAAATAACTTTATCAAACTGTGTTGTTTTCCATAGTTTCTAGTTGATTATCATAGGTTCTGTAGGTTTGTCATCTGTACCTCCTCTCTGATTAACATGTTATCCAAATCAGTAGTTCTCATCTGAGGCAATTTTGCTTCCCATGGGACCTTTGGCAAATATCTCAAGGCATTTTTTGATGTCACTACTTCAGATCCTACTGGCATCTCTGGGTGGATGTTGGGAGGCTGCTAAACAACCTGCAGTTCACAGGACAGCCTCCCCACAATGAAAAAATTATCCATCCCCAGTGTCTCTGATAGCATAGTTGAAAAACCATGGTTCAAATATTTTGCCCATTTTTATTGGATTGTTGATGAGTTGTAAGAGTTCTTTATATACTCTGGATACAAGTGCCTTTTAAAATATGTTTTGCAAATATTTTTCCCAGGCTACCTTTTCATTTTCTTAATAGTTTCCTTTAAAGAGCAAAAGGTTTCAATTTTGATCAAATTTAATTTGCTGACTTTCTTCTTTCATAATTCATGCTTTTTGTGTGTTATTTCAGAAATCTTTGTCTAACACAAGGTCTCTAAAACATCATCTTGTATATTCCTTTTTTATGTATTTTTACTTTTTTTTTTTTTTTTTTTTAAGAGATGGGTTCTCACTGTGTTGCCCAAGCTGGTCTCAAACTTCTGGACTCAAGCAATCCTCTTGCCTCAGCCTCTCAAAGTGCTGAGATTACAGGCTTGAGCCACTGTGGCCAGCCCTTTTTTTCTTATGTTTCTTCTGGAAATGTTATAGTTTTTGCTCTTACATGTAGATCCATGATACATCTTGAATTTATTTTTATAAATGATGAGTTAAGGTTTGAAGTCCATGTTTTTGCATGTGGATATATTATAGTTGCAACAGCATTTGTTGAAATTTTTTCCCTTGCCTACCGAATTGCCTTGAAATTTTTGTTAAAATTGTTCATATATGTGTATGTGTATTTCTAGACTTTCTGTGCCATTGTTGTATGACTATTCATATCCTAATACCACGGCGTCTTGGTTACTGTAGCTTTATAATAAGTCTTGACATCAGATAGTGTAAATCCTCTAGTTTTGATCTTTTTCACAATATTGAATCTTCTGGCCCATGAACACAATATTGTTCCATTTCCCTGGGACTTAATTTCTTTCAGCGATGTTTTATAATTCTTAGTTTATAGCTCCTGCACATCTTTTGTCAAATTTATCACCAGTTACTTCGTATTTATTAAAGTTATCTTAAATAACCAGGTTTTACAGGCTTTGTTATTAATGCTGTATTAGCTCACATCAAAAAAAGTAATTGAAGAGCATTTTCTCTGTCTTTGTACTCTGTTTGTTGAAGATTTAGAGGAATTAACAAATGGAGCTTTTGTACTCAAAATGCTTTCCTCCTTACTTCTTAATCAAAGGCTACCCATTTATTTGAAAGGCAACTTTTATCTCTCTTTCTACATCCAACTTTTCTATACAGTGCCAGTGTAGTAAATTTTGTAGCAATTATTCTTTCTATAATTCATTTGGAAAGCATGCTAACTCCTACCATTCTTTATATATTTATATTGAATTACTTATTGAATGCAGTTAAACTTACTATGAAGTTAAGCTTGTGTCACCTTCTATATAAATTTCATACCTCTTGAGGATTTTCTTTAGAGCCCCTAACAGGATGCCTTATGCAGAGGGTAAGGAACTGGGTCTAATGCTTGGATGTTCAAAGACTGGTTTCCATCAGAAACCTTAAAATACAATTATTCTTCTGAGGTAGGGAAATTGATTTTTAGCATAAATATTGCTTGTAATACTCCTGGCTAGTTTAAAGATTATCTGGCAATTTACTGATAATTATTGAATCACTATTTCTCTAAGACACATGTCTGGCAGTAATTTCTTTTGGAGACATGTTAGAAGGAAATAGTGAAATAATATCAGAATGAAAAATCAGGGCAAGACAGACTGTTAACATTCTCTTTCAACAGAATAAATACAAAGTAGCCCGAAATGTATTATTATTATTATTTTCGAGACGTAGTCTCGCTCTGTCGCCCAGGCTGGAGTGCAGTGGCGCAATCCCGGCTCACTGCAAGCTCCGTCTCCCGGGTTCACGCCATTCTCCAGCCTCAGCCTCCCAGGTAGCTGGGACTACAGGCGCCCATCATCGCGCCCGGCTAATTTTTTTTTTTTTTTTTTTTTTTTTAAGTAGAGACTGGGTTTCACCGTGTTAGCCAGGATGGTCTCAATCTCCTGACCTCGTGATCGGCCCACCTCGGCCTCCCAAAGTGCTGGGATTACAGGCATGAGCCACCACGCCCGGCCTGGAAATGTATTATTATGCTTTAAACTTGTACCAGGTGCAATGAAACATAGAAAAAATGCACATTATTCACTTCACATAGATAATGTATATAACCTAAAATTGACCAACGTATTTAAAGTTTTGGTGTGTGTGATACTGGAATGTATATTGCTCCTGACAGAGGAATAAACCGGGACCCTACTGAAAAACAGTAGAAGACTGATAAAAGACTTTGACTTCGAGAAAGTATCTTGACAAAGAAAGCCTATACCTTTTTTTAACACTTGGATAATAAAGCAGTTTTGTTTTTTTGTTTTTTTTTGTTTTGTTTTGTTTTGTTTTGTTTGAGACAGAGTTTCACTCTGCTACCCAGGCTGGAGTACGGTGGTGTGATCTTGGCTCACTGAAACCTCCACTTCCTGAGTTCAAGCAATTCTGGTGCCTCTGTCTTCCAAGTAGCTGGGATTACAGGCAGGTGCCACCACGCCTAATTTTTTGTATTTTTAGTAGAGACAGGGTTTTGCCATGTTGGCCAGGCTGGTCTCGAACTCCTGGTTTCAAGTGATCCACCTGCCTGTCTCCTAAAGTTCTGGGATTACAGGTGTGACTTACTGTGCCCTGCCTAATAGAGCATTTTTAACTAAGGGCCAGAAAAATGAACATGATAGGTTAGCTGGCTAGACAGACACCCAGAAAAGCAGCTTCCTTGGGGAGCTGTTCAGGGTTGACACAGGCCCCCACCAGCAGAGATGTGCCTCGTCAGGGGTTGGGATGCAGGTGGGCACAGGTCTGTATCCAGACACAGGTGCCCAGAGGGATCAGAAGCCACATAGGTAAGATGCATGCCTTCGTATTACACATCTCTAAACTGAGGAAATCCATTTAAAAGGAAGATTGAAGGCACATTTTAAGCAGAAAAAGAAAGTAGAAAGGTAGGATGTGTTATCTCTGTAAGGGGCTTCCCGTCATTTTAGCACCTGCTAATGAAGGATCTTTTCCTACCGGTTGCACTGGACTCTCCTGCCAGCAACAAGCAAAGGCAGCACCTGACAGGGAGTTTGCTGGTGGCCTAAAATGTGGGACTCCAGGCCTGAGGATTAGTCTGGCCACTGATGTAAAAATGTTAGTCAATGTCACAACTGTACAAAAAGACTAGAGGGTTTCTATAGAAGTTAGTTCCACACTGGAGAAACTAATTTGGCCAGAGAACTTAAGTCGTTGATATTCGTAATAAACAGAAAAAAAAAAAAAAAAAGGATAGTACTTCGTAGCTGAAAATAATTGATACATTTATCAGAACTCTAAAAATCCATGAGGTAGCCTTTAGATAAACAGAGTATATATTATTAGAGATGGTACAAAGTATAATATTAGAGGTGGTACTAAGTATATAATTAGAGATGGTACTAAAAGTCTTGATTATAGCTTTTATTCTTATAAAAGTTTTCTCTACTTTTTGTACATGGTATTATATATTACATTTTTTAAATGCCTAAATAGTGATTTTTTTTTCAAATAGAACTACTTAAAAATTTGCTGGTGACATTATAGTAATGATCTATATATTTACCTATCCTTGTTTTTCTTCTCAAGAAAGAACAAGCTCTTGTGGTCCTATCCTGATGAAGAATTACCCTCAGCCTGATGGCTGTTGTCTGAGGTTGAGTACGAGGAAAACTAAACAACCACTCTCAACTCCTTGGTCATAAGCACTTAATCAACCTAGCATGAGTTGCCAATATTGGAATCCTACCTTTTGTGTGTTACTAGTACCTTTCTAGAGGATTACCTACCTGTGCTGGTCTTTGGGGACACATTGGAGCATATTTTCAGATAGTAGTTTTAAAAATCACTTTTAGGTTTCATTCCTTCATCACAAAACAAAACTTTAGAGCCCGTCTTCTTACAAGGAGTTTAGGTTATTTTTCCTCAAGGGCATTTATGCATCAACACTTTATTTTAGTTGATATTTTTCTGGCTATTTTCACATGCTTATAAACCTGTATTTTAATTTACTCTCATCCGTTTACCAATTTGTGTAGTATTATCTACGCAGTTGTGGCTGTTTTCCAGATCTATGGGCCTGTTTTTCAGATTATTTGTAAAATAAAGAAACATTAATCCCTGTAGACCAACTATTTACTCCTTTTGTTCAGAGTTGATTGATTCTCTCTTTTTTTTGGAAGGCTCAAACCAATTTCCTGTTAAAAACCAAAATCTTTATCCCAACCATCCTTTACCCTGATCCCCAACTACCACTCTATTCCATGCTGAAGCAAAATTCTTCAGCCAACCAGAAAATAACAAAACAAAAAATACTTCTTTGTAGAACCTTAACAAAGGACTTTTAAAAATCAACACCTGCCCCATACACACATACACATACACAGCGTGCCCACCTACACATCCACGCACATGGGTTTAACGAATTCTCTCATTACATATCCTTTTCCAACCCCTCAAATAACTCAAGAATTTTACTCAGGTATTTCCATTTTGAGTCTGATTTATGAACTCTCCATTGTCTGGCCACGTGCCAGCCATATTCCACAATTCATAATCTGTCACCAGAAGTAATGGCCCATTTCCAAAGGTGAAGCATGACAGTACTGTCTGCATGCATCAGATAAACAGATTGTGTGGCCGCTCCGTGTTCTGTCTGAAGTCCTAGGCTGAAGAGCACATTAACCTTTCAGCACAGCCCCATTTTCACTGTGGTGGTTCTTTTCTTTTATGCTCTTCATTTTTCTTCATAAGAGCCAGGCCTGATGAATAACACAACATCCAATCACTAGTGAGCAGATTGCTCAAAACCCGTAGAAGGTGAGTGGGTGATGGTACCCAGTAAATTTTAAAACATCTCAACCTTCCAACCTTGTTGTATGAAATGACTTCAGAAAGTCATTGGAATTAAGAAGAAGATTGTTTTTATTTTTTGGTTCCTCATTGGTATAAGCTTTTTCCTATGACACTTGATGGTGGGGAATCTATTGGCAACCTCCTCCTTTTCTTCACGTCTAACACAAGACTACAGATGGACCTCTGTCGTCTAGGATTTACCCAGCAGAAGGATTCAGGAAGAAAACCTAACTTAGATAGGCCTTAAGTACAAGGTCTCATTTTGTTTCACTTTCGTGAACCTGCATCTGTGTATACTGCTGGGATATTTATGCAGAGATACAAGATTTCCCTTTCAAGATTGGGACAGTTGTACCGCAGGGGCATTCAGTAAATTTGGCCTGGTGTAGGTCAGTCCAGCCACCTAAGCAGGATCACAGACAAGTAGATGATCCTGAATAGATTCATGATAGGAGTGGGCACACCAAAATCATCAGGAACCAAATGTGGCTCAGATAATTAATGTTCCCATCAGTATAGGAACTATGGTCATTTTAAAAGTTGATCTAACCTCATCAGAGTTAATCATCTGCATCTGTGTGTGTGCATGTGGGTGCACCCATGTGTGTGCCTCCACGTGCACGTGTGTGTGTGCATGTGGGTGCACCCATGTGTGTGCCTCCACGTGCACGTGTGTGTGTGCATGTGGGTGCACCCATGTGTGTGCCTCCACGTGCACGTGTGTGTGTGCATGTGGGTGCACCCATGTGTGTGCCTCCACGTGCACGTGTGTGTGTGCATGTGGGTGCACCCATGTGTGTGCCTCCACGTGCACGTGTGTGTGTGCATGTGGGTGCACCCATGTGTGTGCCTCCACGTGCACGTGTGTGTGTGCATGTGGGTGCACCCATGTGTGTGCCTCTACGTGCACGTGTGTGTGTGCATGTGGGTGCACCCATGTGTGTGCCTCTACGTGCACGTGTGTGAGTTCATGTGGCCTATGTGTTCAAACTGCTTCAGAGTGAAAGTTTCCAAGTTTTAAGAAGAAACTGACTGAATTAAAAATAAAGAGAGCAGGGGCATAAAATTCATTCCAGGAACGTGGTAACCACAGAAACAGAAGTGAGGTGCTCTGAAAGCTGAAAGGGATATCAGTCATTGGAGATGGGGAGTAGGGAGGGATGTTTCTTGGTTTGTTTCTTAATAAAGACCCCTGGATTGTTCAAGAAGGGAAAAGGAGATAGTGAGGGAAAAAGAGAGACTAATGGTGCTAGAAATGGAGGGGCTGATTTTTGAAAGAATGGCCGAGATCAGCAGGTCTCCCACTGGAATGTGTCTTGTTAAAATGCAGATTCTCCTCTCTAGAGCTGTGGTGAGGACTGAGATCCTGCCTTTCTAACAAGCTCCCCAGGGATGCTGCTGCTGCTGGCTCACAGATTGCACTCTGAGGAGTAAGGGCATAGAATAAATGGGCAATGAGGAGCCATGGAACGTAAGAAAAGGGATTAACTCTAGATGAGAAACAACAAACGTTTTCCTCCAATATCTAAAAGAAAGATTAAAAAACAGAAGTTTGGGCAAGATGGTGAAGGACAGAAAATCAATATGGTTTTATCTTCCAGTCCCAGTGTTCAATATGGAAGGAGAAAAAACTTAGAGTGGGAAATTACTATCTACAAAACACCACAGCCCAAAACAATCTCCTGAGGTGTCTTTTTTCTGTTCTTTTTTCCCCCTTTGGTATAGGTATCATTTACTTTGGAAATCTATAATGCTTCTGTTGTAATTTAACTTACCACATCTTTATATATTGTCTTTTTAACTCTTCTACAGTTATCTCAAAAAGAAAGTTTTAGTATAATATCTTATAAGTAGTAGAAGTCATTAATAATTTTTTGATTGATTTAGCCAGGAATCCTGAGTTCTGGCTTCTGGCTCCCAATCAATAGTAAATCATGTAGACTTTATCTGCCTCCGTTTCCTTACCTGTCACATAATACTCTTTCCTCTCCACCTTCTACACTGCTAGGAGAGAGAAATTAGGTCTTAATTATAATGCTACTTTGAAAAATCTACTCAAATTTATAGTGGTCTTCATTGTAGTCATATTTTATCTCAACAACTGACTTTTACATTTTATCAAAGACTTTATATTTTCTGTAAAATACTACACAGTAAATCTTCCGGCCTCACTAGAAAAAAATATTTGCTTACAATCTACTTTCTGAATACCAAGGACTGCTGATCCGTAGAGGGGAGAATGGAGAGAGGGCCCTGCCAGCTGCTGATTTAGCTGTCTCCATAGGCTCGCTATTGCTCAAGTACTTTTTCCATCACAAAGAATTGGAATTCTATTTACCAGTACAACTTTTCTGAACATTTTCTAGAGGTAATATGCAAAAACTGCTGATGACACAGAGAGTAAAAATAAAACTCCCTGTGATCAAATGTGTCTCCATTAATCTGCATCTGCTTCATCAAATACAGATTGTGTGTGCACACGCACACGTGCGCATGTGTATGTGTCTTGGTAAATGGGTAAGGAGTTAAGGAGTCCCAATATCATCTATACTCTTCTCATAACAAGAATGAAAAGAAGGGTCTACACTACCTTGGCTAACTGGCACCTCCCATGTGCTCAGCACCAAGCTAAAGGTTGTGAAATACTCTAAAAACATGTAATACATAATGTCTGCACTCAAGGTACTTAGAATCTATTTGGGACACCAAGTAAACATATCTAAAACTAGTCATGATTGGTTAAGCACCTACCATACGTAAGACAGTGTGATAAACACACTCAGGTGCCAAATAGCAAGATATAGCCATAAACGCAATTAAGGACTCCCAAACTTTAAGGCCTCCACGTATCCTGAGTGAATCAGAGATTACTCCTTATTAGGCAGGGCAAGTAGTGTTGGTCATTTAGTTCATGTAAATGATACACTCACAAATTTTTTAAAAAGACAATTCTCAAGGAATCAAGAAAACATATGTGAACAGCAGAGAAAATCAAATACGAAACATGGAGTCATCATAGTTCCAGTAAAAACTCCTCTGCTTTATATTTCTGACTTTTTTATATAAATAGGCTAAAATCCATGCTAATATATATGCAGAAAAGAAATGAGGCCTTGCTCATTACCTGCATATCCTTACATCCCTTTCAAAAACCTGAACATGTACTCTAGCATAGCATTCTGATCTTTATTTTCCTGGGGGAAAGAAGGCTTGTGACTTTGCGACACTTAGCTGGTTCTGTATCCCTCTGTATTCTGCGTATATTTGACTTTTCTTTGGTTAAGAGGTAGAAGGTGCTTCTTAGGTTTTAAAGGTAACTTTAGAATGACCCGATGAAGAAGTTAAATGTCTCTTTATGAAATAGAAACATGAATCCTCTTTTATAAAACAAACATAAAAAGATGATAAATATATTAATCAGATTTTATCTCCATAGATCCTTGGACCTATTAGCACAATATAATCACAAGTTGTATGCTTATCACAGCCGGTATTGTTTGATCTTTTTTATTTTTTGACAGAGAAGCAGAAGGCCTTAATCTCTACATTACTTTTAGTAAAGATAAAATTAAAATGATGTATTGTTATTTTGTAATTTCCTTATAAGCACATATTGGAGGATTAAAATATTACAATAGAATTATCTGTAAGCAAATATGTTTTCAAATAAGGCTGAGTGAACCCTTCATTGAATTAAAAGACTTTAATGGGGCCAGGCGCAGTGGCTCATGCCTGTAATCCCAGCACTTTGGGAGGCCGAGGCAGGTAGATCACGAGGTCAGGAGTTCGAGACCAGCCTGACCAACATGCTGAAATCCCGTCTCTACTAAAAATACAAAACTTGGCCAGGCATGGTGGTACCTGCCTGTCATCCAAGCTACTCAGGAGGCTGAGGCAGGAGAATCACTTGAACCTGGGAGGCAGAGGTTGCAGTGAGCCAAGATCGCACCACTGCACTCCAGCCTGGTGACAGAGCGAGACTCTGTCAAAAAAAAAAAAAAAAAAAAAGACTTTAATGGTTATGTTCAAACTTGAATTCCTCATTTTAATTAACCATTAGATGGTTAAATGTTTACCATTTTAAATAACCCTCCTCAACTTATTTCATTTATACTGAAATAAGTCATAGTACTGAAACAAATTATTTATAATAAAAATACAAAAAGTGCATAATATTCAATTTGCCAAAAATTAAAGAATTTAAAGCAACAGATATTTGTAATTTTCCCATTTTGGTCACTGAACATTCCTACATAAGGTAATACTTCACTCTCTGTATCTTAAATAAGCATTTGAGGGATTTAAGAATATTTCCTAACTACAAGGGCTTTCTTATTGTCAGGAGCCATTACTGAGGGCCATTACTCTTTGCTTTGATCTCTTCATCCCATTATAGAACAAATTTATTGTGTGCCTATTATGTTCAGCACTGAGAATGCAAAGATAAATAAGATTTAGCCCCTGCCTGCAGGTGCTCACACTCTATTCAGTAAAGCTCAAATTTGGAACAGAGGGAGGAATAAGGATATAATGGATGTATGAAGACATTCACATAACATTTTCTGCAGATATTTTTGACACATTTTCCTGTGTGTGATTGCCTGAGAGCTTTCTCAGCTATATAAATGATACCTACCATGAGTTCCTATTGTGAATAGATTTCATATCCCTCATTTATGTGTCAATGAAATAATTTTTCTGTCTCTATGGATTTGACTATTCTGAACATATCATACAAATGGAATATGTGGCCTTTTGTGTCTGGCTGTTGCCACTTAGCATAAAATTTTCAAGGTTCACCTATGCATTCCTTTTTCTGGCTGTATAATATTCCATTGTATAGACATACTACACTTTGTCTATTCATGTATCAATTTATGGACATTGGTGGTGTTTTCACTCTTTGGCTATTACGAATAATTCTGCTAGGAACATTTGTGTACAGGTTTTTGCATGAGCATGTTTTCAGTGCTCTTAGGTGTATACCTAGGAGTGGAATTGCGGGGTCATATGGAAATTCTATATTTAACTTTTCAAGGAATTGCCAAATTGTTCTCCACAGGGGCTGTGTCATTTTACATTCCCACTAGTTATGTATTATAGTTCCATTTTCTCTACATCCTCACCATTTTCCTTTTTTTTAAATAGCCATCATAATGAGTGTGAATTAGTATCTCATAGTGGTTTTGATTTGCACTTCCCTAATGATTAATGATGTTGAGCGTCTTTTCACGTGCTTATTGGTCAATTGTTTTGAGGTTTTTTGGAAAAATACCTACCCATATTCTTTGCCCTTTTTAAAAGTAGGTTATTTGCCTTTTGTATTGTTGGCTTCCAAGAGTTCTTTGTATGTTCTAGATACTAGACCTTTATCAGACATATGATTTCAAAATTTTTTAATGTGGACTGTCTTTTCACATATTTGATATTGTCCTTTGATGCACAGAAGTTTTTACTTGTGATAAAGTCAAATTTATTTATTTTTTTATTTAGTTACTTGTGATTTTCTATTCTTTTATAACACATTTTTATTGAAGTAAGATGCTGTTTATATTTTAAATTCTTCTTTGCTATAATATTGTATTTAATTACAAAAATTATTTATCAGTCTCAATTTACTTCTGATCCATTTGGAGTGCCAAATAACAGCCAAAGCAATTGTAGTTATAAATTAAAGGACACAATTCAGCAAGGAAAAATAAATTAAAAGAAAACAAAAGCATATTATTCTTTTACTTTTGCCATTAAACAACAAAAACATTTCTGATAATTTGTCAAATATTTGTCAAATTGTCTCCCAGTTATCTGTAATGTAGATAGCCTTCCTGGTAACCTGTCTTAAAAATAAATGATGTATTCGTTTCCTGTGGCTGCTACAACAAATTACCACAAACTTAGTGGCTTAAAACAACACAAATTTCTCCTCCTACAGTTCTGTAGTTCAGAAGTCTGAAATGGGTCTTGCTGGGCTAAAACAAGATGTCAGCAGACCTTTGATCCTTTCTGGAGGCTCTAGGGGACAATCTGTTTCCCAGCGTTTTCCAGCCTCTAGGCCACCCACATTTCTTGGCTTTTGGTTCTTCTCCTCTATCTTGGAAGCCAGCAATGTTGGGCCAAGTATTTGTCATATTACATCACTCTCACTTCCTCTTCTGCCTCCCTCTTTGACTTTTAAGGACCCTTCTGATTACATTGGGCCCACCTGGATAGTCCAGGATACTCTCCCTATTTTAAGGTCAGCTGATTAGGAAACTTAATTTCATCTGCAACCTTAATTCCCCATGTGCCATGTAACATATATATTCACGGGTTCCAGGGATTAGAAGGTAGACATCTTTGGGCAGCTCTTATTCTGTGTACCACAGGTGACTTTACTGGTGTCCTGTTGTACTGAAGCTAGGGACTGCAGTACATCTGTTGACAAATGATGAATTTGAAAGTACTCAAAAAGAGAGAGAGACTATAGGTAACTTTGTTCTTGCCTTTACAACCCTTTTTGGATAGGAGCACAGACCATAAAGGCAGGGAAATTAGCAGATATGCATGTTATTGATTCCTGATTATAATGGCTAAACTAGACGTTTCTGTTTTTCCAATACTAGAAGAAAGCAGCTTAGAAATTTGGCATTATGGATAGCAGTCTTAAAACTCCTTTTCTTAAAATGGAGCTTACGGACAGGGGCTTTCTGTAAAGGCAGCATGTACAGTAGAGTGAGCAGAGGCTTTGGAGTTAAGGGGACCAGGGAACAGGTTTCAGCTCATCCACCGTATTAGAAAAGTCCAATATTGAGATACAGAATTCAACCACATCCCCCCAAAATTAGATTTTCATGAATAGGTACAAAACTTTATGTAGTAGCATATCTCGAATATCTCTAACACACAGATTGAAACTTTTTTAAAATGAGAAAAATTAGTGCTTAAAATGTCTAAAGTAGTTTAAAGACATTTAGTTATGCTGTTTACTAAATGGTAATGGCTTTAGGAACACATGTTAGATGCATGAATTTAAAAATCAATTTGTTCATGTGATGCTGGAAATAAAAGGATTCTCCCTATCCAGTGCTGTTAGAAGCCACCACTAAGACGATGACAGTGAATTCTGTTAGGCCTTTTCCTTGATTAAAAGGAAAGTGAGACAGCAGACAGGCTGACTTGTTTACTGCTAAGCTTCCTATCCTGGCTCTCCTGCCCACATTTTCTTTTCTAAGTCATCTATTGCCACATGTAGACAGAAGGGGGAAAAGACTCTAATCTAAAAATGAATAGAGTAGCATGTCAGTGCTCCCGGTGATGTACATAAAAACCTGAATTTTTCTGTTTCTATGTGCATCAGGCTGTCTCTTGCCCTAGGTTGTCTGGATTGTAAAAACTAAGATTATTATTAAAGAGGGCAGCAAGCCATTTAGGAAGTGCCCTGTCTCCCTGTGACAAAAGCTTTGCAGCTAAGCACAGTAATTTATGTTGATAAATTGCAGCTGTCAGAGTGTTCACAGTGCTTCATGGGATATGTTTCTAACTTTGCATTTCTTGTTCATGCATTCCAATATATGGACTTCTCTTTAAAAAATAAAATACCAGAGCAAGTCTTCGGAAGTATTCCCTAAATTGTCACGACCTAGTTTGGATAAGATTAAACTAAGGTAAAAATGATAATAAGATAATAAGAATGATTATTATGAGTGTATTTTTTTTTTCTTTTCAAAGTCTGTAAGGATCTTAAGGTGGAAAGAAATGTTAGAGAAACTGGCCATTATTTGAAAGACTTAAGTTTCCAAGGAAAGAAAACAAAATGTCAGTAAAGTGGAAAAATTGGTTCCAAAGCACAGGGAAATACATACATATTAACAAAACAGGCCAGGCACAGTGGCTCACGCCTGTAATCCCAGCACTTTGGGAGGCCAAGACAGTTGGATCACTTGAGCTCAGGAGTTCAAGACCAGCCTGGACAACATGGCAAAACTCCATCTCTACAAAAATTAGCTGGGTGTGGTGGTGCACACCTATAGTCCCAGCTACCCCGGAGGCTGAGGTGGGAGGATCACTTGAGCCCAGCAGTGAGCCGAGACTGTGCCACTGGACTGTAGCCTGGGCAACAGGCCAAAACTCTGTCTCAAAAAAACAAAGAAGAAAAACAAAACAAAACAAAAAATGGAAAGGCAAGGTAGTTAAAAGGTTACTGAAAAAGGCAATGGAAAGGGCACAAAAATAGAACAGATTAAGTTCTACATATGACGGTGTCATGCCTAGTGCAACAGGAAAAAAAAGTGATAGATAAAATCTACATTCAAATAAGAGCCTCCAAGCCTCAGTTCTAATCCCTGTTTTGCCACTGTATCCATTAGCTGTTGCTACAAAGATACTGTGTTTCATACTTCCTCAAAGCTCTGTGGTCCATAACAGTCATTTACTTGACTGCAGGGCAGTGCAGGTAAGATTTGGTTCATCTAAAGCTGAACTTCTGTACACAGCACCTGGTGCGTCATTGCTCTGCCTCTTAAAATAGATGTTTGGGTGTCTGACTGGCCATGCTCTTTAAGTCTCTGTTTGGACTTGGAGCTAACTTCTTCTCAAGGCAGTGGCAAACACTTAAGACAGCAAGCAGAAACATACAAAGTCCCCAAAGGCCTGGCTTCTGACCTGGCAATCTATCCTCTTTGGTCATATACCCAAATCAGTCATATGGCCGGCCCCACATCAAGAGACAGAGGAGTACACGCTGCTCACAAAGAGAACTCCTGAGAAATTGGACCTAACGTTGTACCTAAGAAAGCCTCCACGAAAGAAGGATAATATAGTTAAATTGATATTCTTATTTAAGTGAAATTCTTGAAACTCTAGGTCTTCAATAAACTTCAATAATAATGCATCAGAAATCTCAACCGAAGGAATGGATATTCTAGCTTTTACCCTCTACACTCCATTCCCTAATTTTTATACTCAAAAAGTGATCAACTTGTGGAAACCACATTACTTTTATTCTTTTCTTAAATTTGTCAGCTTTCACATATAGCTGTAGATATTTGAAAATATTTGTTGGAGACATGAGTGAATCAAGCTATCTTAGTCACAAGAGCTGAGCTCAGTGCTTTCCCAACCAAGAGCTCCCAAACTGAACCATTAACACCAGCTAGACATTTCCAAGGTATCAGTCTCACTTGAGCAGTTGACTTCATCAACCAACATAAATAGTTAAATGCTTTCAAAAAAAAAATTTAAAGTCTGGGTTTTCACTAGCAAAGGATTAGTAGTTATCATCTTAGTAGGGCAACAGCCTATTGAATGCTCGATGCAAAAAGCATTTTATTTCAATTCCTACTAGTATGCTGTATCATATTTGTTGAATATTCCCAAAATATTGTTTAATCCAACCACTCCTTATAAAAATGTTATGCAGTGACTCTCTACTGCTTAATAGTCTAGAATTCAAAGACTTCTTTATCTGGTTCTTTCTATCCTCATCAATCTTGTCTCTTGAAAGACAGTGCCACTTTACAGGATCATCAGTATTCGTGGTGACATTTGAATGCATGTTGTGGAATACTACTTTAATGGGAAAAGTTTACAAAGCTATTGGTGGAGCATCTCTTCTCCCTGTATTTCAACATCCAAGAATACACATTTTTCACAGAAAGCAGTTAGTAGTACACAGTAAATAGCAATTGCTTTAAAATGAGTAACTTTTAGTAGGTTTTAGGGAAAGACTAGAATAGCCAGAGGCAAGAAAAAAAATTGGGAAGATTACATATGTGACAGTCAGATGTATAGACAAACTTGAGTAAGTCACCGTTGCTTACGATAAACTTTGGTTCCAATCCTCAAATTCAAAAGTAGATTGAAAAAGAATGTATTACCCATAATTGCAAAAGGTGGTATTCTCATCTAGACTAAGTCATGGAGGCCGTACATGATAAAGGACTTGGTAACTGCTAATATTTATGCAAATATATTTGAAGGTGGTATGATTAATGATTCTTTATGTAAATGTCACTAACTTGTAATGTGTGTTTATTCATTAAATCTTATATTATCTAAAGAAAAAGGATTTGTATAGCAGGATAAACAATAGGTCATTTAAACTATTTGGATAAACAAATTATCTGAAAGAATTTTAGGGCACATTTACTTTCTTAAATTTATTGATAATTATTCAAATTAATTTGTTATAGCTTTCTGTAGCTCAGCTCCACATACCAAAAATTGGTATTCACTTATTTTTCTCTGTTTTTAAATCCCAAACCATGTTCTGACTAAACATTTTGTATTTTCAGTACTGAATAATTAAGAATTATTAGTAATGAGATTCAGGTCATTTGGGCTAAGATGCATTGTGGCTGTGCCTGTGCATGCAACCTGATTTGAATTATCTATTTTGACTCCTTAGATTCCTTTTTCTGAGTTGATTTGGTTGGATGGACTAACTGGACTTGTCAAGATAATCTAAATCAATTTGTGCACATATCACAAACGATCAAATTTGTTTAGCTAAAACATTTCTGTTGGTGACACGAAGATGATAGAGATTTGGTTCATGTTGCATTGGATTCACCTCTCCTTCTCCCACTGAAGTTTTTCTGGCTGCGGTCTTAAATAATGGAAAAATTAGAGAGATGAAATGGGGCTTGGAAAGTGAATAGGGTTGATTGCTTGGTTGTGGATTTGTGTTATTTTGTGATTATTTTTAATGCCTTTCTAGACAAGCCTGCAAACTTCTACAGGGTATTCAAGGGTAGTTGCTAATTTCTGGGTTTCTTTCATGAGAAGTGGTAGAAATATAAGCTGTTACCAATACTAATTTCTGAGGCCCCAGGGAATTGCCCCATCCAGGCAGTCTGGCCTAGTGCTCCCCACAACTATGGGAGCTAAATGGCCAACTCCCTTGTACGTTTGTACAGACATAAAGATCTTAGGGTTTGTGTTTCACTACCTTGTGGCAAGCACCCTGCCTAAATAGGTGGCCTTGATTTTTCTTCTCTGTTATTGCTCTAATGACTCCTAACATTGATTGAGAGGGCGATAAAATCCTCCTGCGAAGTAGAACTTGAAATGACAGTCCTCCATCAGGAGTATTGGGATAATGTCAGATAAATTACTGCCGATCCCATGCGCTGAAAAAAAAGGTAATATCTGAGTGTTTTTTTTTCTTCACCACCAAGAAATAAAAAGATCTTCAGAATTGTCATCTAGCCTAAACTTTGAGTCACAGTGTTAACTTTTGTTTTAGTTTGAGTCAAGTGCCTTTTCTTAGAGAAATTATATCATATTAGGATGACATTAGAGCAGCCATGTGGATAAAATTCTAGTCTTTTTCCCGGTTCAGTTGTAATAACGTTTGCAAGAGAAGGTGGTTGAATTTGCTGCCATCCTTAGCATCAGACTATATACAAGGATAATAACATATCACTGCTGCAATCTGAGTATCTACAGTTCAAGTGGAAAGAAAAGACATACAAATATAAATAATTCAAAGTAACATATATAAAAATAGTTTTCAAGCAGCTCAATGTTTCAGCATACTCATTGTCATTCAAACAGACTTGGGGTAGGGATGAGGGGTAACAGAGGATATACTTTTCTCTATCCTACAAAATTGGAACACACAGGAAAATAGACAGAAATATGAAATTAAATGATCATAATTTGCCCAAAATCTTCTGACCCAAAGACAACTACTGCTAGTATTTTGGTGTTTAGTCCAGTCTTTTTTCTCTATATATGTTAGATTTCTTAGAGAAGAAACTCCTATTTTTAATTTCATAACGTTTAAGTTTGTGTTCTTGGCTTTTCTTTGTTGTTTTGTTTTTAAGGAGCATAATTATTCAGCAGGTATTTACTATGCATTCCTTTGTGGCAGACATGATGTCAGGTACTGAGGGTCTAGGGGGAGGCTGCTGCTGAGGAAGCCAAGACTCCAGCAGACTGTCACCTGCTCCTGAGCCCACAGTCTACTGCAGGCCTCAGCCTATCAACAGGGAAGCTTTCTCTGCTCAGTACATTTTTTAACTCAAATATATGAGGCTTTACATTTTCCAGTTAAACATTCTCCTGTTACTTTTTAAAAATATATAACAGCTTTATTAAGACATAATTCAGAAACCATAAAATTATTTCTTTTAAAGTGTACAATACTTGAATCTTGATTCTTTGTTTAGTTTCTCTCTCCTAGTACTTTTTTTTTTTTAAGTTCCAGGGTACATGTACAGGATGTGCAGGCTTGTTACATAGGTAAATGTGTGCCATGGTGGTTTGCTGCACCTATCAACTCATCACCTAGGTAGGAAGCCCAGCATGCGTTAGCTGTTTTTCTTGATGCTCTCCCTACCCCCGACCCTCCCCAGTGTTTTTCTATTGAAGATCAGATTAACTTTACTGGTGTTCTTCCGAGACAGTGATAGGTAGTTGAATGAGGTAGTCTAAGGACAGACTCTTGCCCCATTCAAGGCCATTCCAAAGAGCCACTAACGAGTACTCTTTAGGAAAGGTATTTGATATCTCAAAATTCATATGTCTGTATAATCATTTAGCCCATACTTCACCGTGTTATTCTTGGTAATATACAAAATAGTCTCTGAAAGGCATATCATCACTCGAGAGTAATAGCTGGAAATTATTTTCAGTAATCTGAGTTGAGGAAACAGAACTTTATTTATTTTTGAGATGGAGTCTTGCTCTGTCACCCAGGCTGGAGTGCAGTGGTGCAATCTCGGCCCACTGCAACCTCCTTGGCTCACTGCAACCTCTGCCTCCCAGGTTCAAGCAATTCTCTGCCTCAGCCTCCCGAGTAGCTGGGATTACAGGCACCTGCCACCATGCCCGGCTAATTTTTTGTGTGTTTTTAGTAGAGATGGGGTTTCATAATCTTGGCCAGGATGGTCTTGAACTCCTGACCTCATGATCCACCCGCCTCAGCCTCCCAAAGTGCTGGGATTACAGATGTGAGCCACCGTGCCTGGCCGAGTAAACAGAACTTTAATATCATATCACGTATCTTGAGTTCAACTTCCAGTGTACAACACGTGAGATCATTTTCTGTGATGGAGAATGTGAGTGCCAAGTAAGTGTCCTGGAGTTGATGTCACAGCATCTTCTTCAGGCAGAAATCAACGCCTTTGCTTCCAGCATAGCTTTGAAGCCCCTTTTTGTTATTGAATTTGGCACATTTTGATACTTTGACCTTCCAGATCTTTAGCTTTCCTGTTTTTCCCATCTTTTAACATATTCACTTGAACTAAGGAAACCCTTCCATTTCTATTTTCCAATGGTGAGCCCGTCCTCAGAGTTCTGACTATGTAATAGCAATATTTCATCTGTTATAAAATGTAGAACCCTGTTGTTTGGAATTTTAACATGCTCTTTGTTGGTAATAGAGGACCTCATTGGTTGGGAGTGCTCTGAGCTAGCCTTCATGAGAATGCCAGAATATCCTCATGACCTCATTGTGACAACCAGAAATATATCACATCCATCTATGTTACCTGCATTTTATAGTTTATCTGGGTGATTTTTTTCTTTAACTTCCAAATTTGATTTTTAAGCCTCTTTTATGTAGTTTACAGGTTTCTTGCCAAATATTTTACTTGTATTGCATTTCAAGCCAGAAACCCAACTGAGTCTGCACTTAGTGAACTCTTTGTTTCCTATGTAGTCTCTTTTTGCATCTTGCATTCCAGCATAATTATCTTTTCTTAAAGGCAACATCATTAAAGTAACGCAGTGTCCATGCATCCTGTTGTATCTCTGTTCTTACACTAAGGAAAGATGTCTCCTAGTTGGTAAAAAAGTTTTTAATAGGATATGTTGGCAAACTGGCAGCTACCTTCTGGGGATTTTTTCCTATGCATTTACCAATATTTAGGCATAATGAGAAATAGATACTAATGCTTTTATTTTAGTAGAGATTTTTGAGGAGCTCAGAAAATTACATGAGTACTGTTATAGTGTAGTATAAATACAGTATCTCACTTCAATTTTCTCCCTTGGCTCAGTTCCCAAAAATTAAAGGGAGTTCCTTTCCTTATAATTTGTGTTAACAACCTATTGTTCCTCCAGCTGTCTTTAGCTCCTCTTTCCAGCATAAATTGATTCCAGTGGGAGAGAAGGCAAGATAGTAAATCAGTGCATCTATGCTTTTACTTCCCCTTTTGTTCTGTTCAACTCTATAATTATACTTCATTTTTGTAAAGCAGCAGATTTTCAAATTTAAATCTCATGAATTTCAATATTTATACATGTACGTAATAGGAAAAAGGACTTAACTGCTCTCCCTCTCAATTCACACCTACAAACTAATATTTGCTATAATAAGATAAAGGCAAATCCTTTTCTGAAAAAGGTGATAGGGATTACCAAGTAACATTGTCTATAATTTTACCTTTTCAGAAATGGATGAGTGAACATTTTTGAGAAAGAGGAAGTAAAAATATTTTTTTCTTATTCTTCCCTACAGTTAGTATGACGAGGTAAAGCCCTCTAGAGGCCTTCAGATCTAGGAAAAATGCCCCTACCTGCTTTAAAGCCCCAGCTAGGCCACAGTTACCAGCAAAAATAATTATTTGGGCATCACTGTTATGACCTCTCTGGGCACATTTAATCAGTCAGTATTTATGGAGTATATTTCATGTGCCAGGCACTGGTTTAGGTGGTAGAAAAATGATAATACTCAACATATATTGAACTCTTTTTCTTATACCAGGAAATCTGCTAAGGATTTTTCAGGATACTTTCCTATCTAATACTATTATTATTTCAGAGGGAAGAAGCAAGGATGAATCTTAGGTGGCAGAACAGATGTCTGTCCTTCAGGGGGAGATTTAACCTCTGTGAGCTCCAGTTTCCAAATATGAATCACATTAATAATACCTACTTTATCAGGTTGTTGTAATAGATGACGTAATTCAGGTAAAGCTATAAGCCAATGCAGAACTATTTTTAAAATTAGGAAATCCAGAGAAGTGAGGCTCTACTCCATATCAGTCACAGTTGTAGGCACTGAGAATACACATTGCACTGAGGGAAAATGAAGTCACTGATGATCTTAGTAGTTTTAGTGCAGTAATAGAGGTGGAACCTACACTGCAGCAGGTTATGAAATGAATGGAAATTGAAGGGTAGATAAGTAATTCCAGTGTTTGGGCTCTGAAGTGGGGAAGAGAGAGAGATTGATAACTGAAAGGGACTTGGAGTGGGAGAGAGAGTAAAATGGAACAGCCTTGAACACATCTAAGTGTTCATAGAAATAAATAAGATGATGAGAACTGTTTGAAGGAACAGGAGAGAGTGATGATAATCTGTAGATCAAAGCTGTGAGACAGTAAGGGAAGTGAGATCCAGAACCCTGGACAGAGGAGATGTCTACATTTCTATTACAACCACAAGAAGGGAGGAATTGACTGGATGAGGCTGTAGATACTGGCGTGAATGCTGAGAAGATGTGGAGCAAGTTCTTATTGGGCTTGTTTTCCCTGAGAAGATGGGGTAAAGTCATATGCTCAAAGTAGATAGGCATTAGGCATTTGGAAAGGTAGGAGGTTTTAGTGTGTAGGTTTTTAAATAGTAGCTAGCAAGAACTTAATAATTAACTAGGAAAGCAGAAAGATTGACCCAACTGTGGATCTAGATGAAGCTGAGTGCACTCTCTGTATCCTTTTTTATACGCACAGTGGTGATAAATAAAGACAAACCAAAAGAGAATAAATCAAGGCTATTTATTCAGTTTCTTGCAGAGTAACTCATTTCAGCGGAGATTCAAAGGCAGGGAAAGAAATGGGAATGCTGTGTAGTGGAGAAAGGGATGGCTTCTGATGTACCCTAATTGGAGTCTGTTGGCCCAAAGAAGCTGCAGGCAGGCTGACTGGAAGCAAGCATCCTACGCGATAGGTTAGAGGAGCATATTTGGCTTTCTCTGGTTGGTGCTAAAGTTAGCAGTGGAGCCAAAAATTAGGGAAGTTGTCAGCTTTCAGTTAAGTCATGGCCATTTGGGGCAAATTGTTGCAGAAATTATTGTTTGGTTTTCTGTGTTCTGAATCCCTGCAAGTCTGACTTATCGTGGGCTGATTTCCCAGGCTAGTTGTTGTAGATAAGGGATTGGTTTCCTGGGCACGTTTCTACAGTTTTGGGGTCAGAATTCTATTTTTTATATGATCTTGCCATTGTCCATTTGGCAAGATCATATAAAATTGTCCAGATAAAGTTTCCTACCACTTTTATTATTATTATTGAAACTTGAAATGACCTTCTGTTTAGAAACCCTTGTTCCTTTAGTTAAAAGAATATAGAATCTGAGAGACAGATGAGACTCAGGAAATAATCAGTAATGGAATGGAAGTAAGGGAATTTGTGGGAATACCATTCAAGAAATTAACATGTAATTTTAACCTGCGCAGTAAAGGAAAAATTTAAGAAACTGCATCACCTTGTTTTGAGCCTTGGTCAAGGTAAACCCAAGCTATGTGATATGGTTTGGCTCTGTGTCCCCATCCAAATCTCCTGTAAATTTGTAACCCCACGTATCAGGGGAGGGGCCTGGTGGGAGGTGATTGAATCATGGGGGCGAACTTCCCCCTTAGTGTTCTCCACATAGAGTTCTCACAAGATCTGGTTGTTTGAAAGTGTGTAGCACTTCCCCCTTTGTTCTCTCTGTTACTGCCATGTGACAAAGGTGCTTGCTTCCCGTTTGCCCTTCTGCCATGATTGTACATTTCCTGAGGCCTCCCAGCCATGTTTCCTATATATCCTGCAGAACTTTGAGTCAATTAAACCTCTTTTCTTTATAAACTACCCAGTCTCAGGTAGTTCTTTATAGCAATGTGAGAATGGACCAATATACTTGAAAGTGGAACTTCAGGCCAGATCTCTCAGACCAATGGACTAGAAGATAGAGACTTAAGAAATAAGTGACTTGCTTGGGCTTGGACTTGAACCCAGTGCTCATTCATTTTCATTGACCTGAGAAGTAACCATTACATCAATCATGTTGAAAATTTCTTTATCAAATTTGGAATTGGAAAGTTTGAGTAATGCAAAACATCGACCTAAACGCTTCATTAATTACTCCACAGAGCTGTCTAAAACCATAATAAACTTACCTGTTGTTCATTGTAGCTGTTTACAGGCTTAAGAAAGTTTAAGGAGAATGTAACCTTATAAATGTTTAACCATAAGGGATGATAAATGTTAGGATTAATGGTATGTCAGAGTGTGCATATTTTTAGGATTCTATGTTGAGATTGGAGAAATTCCCGTTACTATAAAATATTTGAGGGGCAATTTACCTGATAAGAGAAACAAGGGTGTATTACCATTGATTGATTATATAGTAAACCCTTACCTTGTCTCTCTTCACATAATGAATTTCTTTTTTCCTTACAGCCTGATAAGAAAATTTAATGGGATGCTTCCATCAGTAATAAAACCACTGAGCCATATAGAAAGTGGTTTTTGCATCTTTCCCAAAGTGTGGGAAATACCTTGATATCAGCTGGAAAGAGTCATTACTTCCACATTAAAGTTGTGCTAAAGTGAAAGCTTAACAAGCACTTAGTTTATCAGAAACACAGTAGCATTTTCCAAAGCTCCATCCATGGATGCATTGTATTCTAAGGGTGAGAGGTAATCTGAAGTTGCTCATGATCTCAAAGGGCAGGGAGACCTATGAAAAGGGAACAAGTGGGAAACAAGGATCTAGCCATTGAACCCAGTGTTCCTTTTCCCCCCAGTGCTTCTGAACACACCCATATAAGGTGCCCTAGAAGCAATATTAAATAATTCTGGAAAGCCTGGGAGTGGTGTGCTTCAATCAGCAATCACCAGTTAAGGAAATGCTGAGTTCTAGGAAAGGGGCCTCCTTTGAAGTCATTTAGAGACCCTTGACCAGGGAGCTTAGGGAGAATAAATACCAAAGGAGTTTGGGTTTTTTTATGTCTTGGCTGTCTGGGTGAATTATCTGAGATGTAGACCCAGGGCCTGGATGAAGGTTTGCAGAGCAGACATCTTTATTTGGATACACACTTATTCATTCAATAAATATTTACAGTAAGTCTGCTATGTAGTAATTGTAATCTATAATTAGGATATTTTCTTTGAGTATGCTAAATATACAGGAATAATAGAGAACAGAGCAAACCTGGTCTCTCCTGGGCTCACATGATTCTGAGTAATGAACAAACTGTAGCAATAATACTCAATATTAATACTTTTGTTTAATGTAATAACTAGGGTGCTACCTTTATGGAATTCTCTGTTTTTAATGGAATTTCTCAAATTGGCATACTGTTTTCTACTAATTGAGAACACCCCTTGCATAACTGTAACATAGCCTTCATTGTTTTTTGTTTTTTTAATCTCTAAACAAAATGTTTTATTTGGTAGAACAGAATTGCAGTTGCCCTCATTCTTTTTAATACAGTTCTTTACTAATAACACCAAGGCCCTAATTTTGCACACACACACTGAACCCTTAATTCTGCCTAGGAGCCCTGCTGGTAGTTGTTATAATGCCAAAGTCTTGAACTATGGAACTTGGCAAATCTGTTACCATAATGAATTAGTACCAAAATGATTGGGGTAGCACATTTTAGCATTCTTATTGAATGCTTGCTTATTCCAATGTTTCTTACCTTTATTAAACCCATGAATCTTTTTTTTCTTTTTTACTAAACGTAAGATCACACGTAATATCAGAATGTTCACAATAAATTTCGTACTTAGAAAGTAACACAATTATAATTTTAGGATTTTTTTTCAAACTATATATACAACTCCCTACTCTTAAGAATTACTCTTGTACATAATAAAGCATTTGAATGTCTTTGTAGATTATAGAAACTTGGCCTTTTTCATCGTATTTACAAAGTGTTAAAACATTTCCAGGGAGTAGAAAGGGACAGAGATTTCAAGCATCCTAAAATGGCAATTAAAGCACCAAGTAGAAATTTTCTGTAGTCTTTGAAAATGAGACAGGATTTTAAAATGTAATATTTTTCTTTCTCATGGTAATTATTATCATCTCTTAAGCCTCAAATGTCATAAATTAGCTATACTGGAGGAACCTAGGCCTGAAGTTAGTCTGTTACTTTTCTATTTTCTTATTATCCTCTTAACTATTTTCCAGGCTGAGTAAATTCTTTGTACACTGGATTTGTGGCTAAATCAAAACAGAAAGTAGATCCTTCTATCTTTGCATTTTAGAAATGAGTAACACATATCACATACCAGAGTGTATCTTTTGCAATTATTCACAAGCAACATGTTTGAAGGTTGAACCACATACAGTCAATTGTACTGTTAAAAATTTAATGCTTTTGCCTGCAGAATGTGCCAGTATATTAATTCAGTGGTGCCTTAAAGTTTTGCATTTGAGAGTCATGAGCTTACATCACTAAGCCTGGTAGATATCTGTCTAATAAGGTTCAATATGTTTAATATATGAGCCTCTTTTTTAAAAGAGTAAAGATAACTTTTTACTTTGATTTTATAGATTTTTTTCGTGAGATATAAAATCATTTATATAAGCAACGTCATCTCATGCTAAAACACAGCACTATTCTTGCATTGCACATTAAAAGACCCATATAAGACTACTGTTTAAAAAAGCAGTCTGAATTTGTAGCACAGTTTTTTGTTTGTTTTGTTTTGTTTGAGATGGAGTCTCATTCTGTCACCCAGGCTAGAGTGTGTGGCACAGTTTTTCAAGAATCTATTCCTCTTTGATTCAGATATTATAAATACTAGGGCAACAGCAGAAGATAAAGACTGCTTAAATGGCAAATCTAGTAAATAAAAGTCATTAGTATGTTGAAGTATATTTAAATCTTGACTCAAGAAGAGATCAGTCACTCTCCAGTGAAGTGCCTGGGAGGATACAAGGAAGAAAGTACAGCAGGCCCTATACCAGAGGCAGGGCTGTGTCCAGATGCCTGAAATCATGCCAAGAATCTGGAGGTTCCTCATCCCTGTTGCCATGTACACATATAAACATATCTCTTAGATGAGAAGGAAAGAAACAATCTGCTGAGATGATTTCTTCATCCCTCAACAGGGAAATGAAATATGGGATAGGTTGTGTATGCCTTTGGATTTCTTTGGAAGGAAAAGACCTCTATGGAATAAGGGCCAAAATAGATAGTGTCAGTCCTGTTAATGCTTAGAACAAAAATACCTACAACACCTCAGCACCAATCCACAGGCCTGCAGCATGTCCTGTAGGAGATGCCTCTTTGACTCAGAGAAGAGGAGACACACATCACTGCCACTCCATCAATGAGTGGAAAATGAGATACCCCAGCACTAACAGAATGAAGCCTCAGAGGCTCACAGCCAGTACTCATAAGTGAAGCTGCCCCAAGCCTAAGATCAGAGGCAGCTGTTACTCCAGACACATCAGATGGCCTCAAGTGCCCAAGTAGAGGCCAGTCTGTAGTTACCTCCAAGCAAAGTATAGAACAGTGAGACATCACAACTATGTCCATCATCTCTGGAGGAAGAGGTTCACCAACACTCAGCAGGCACAACACTAAAAAGGCATATTGGTAATTATTCATCACATTTCTCCGATGGCGCTGATGTTTTAGGAAGAATAAGGGGGAGGATATCTGCTTTCCTAGATTGCTTTTTGCAAAGAGTGTCATGGATTAAGAAGAAAGGTGAGAGGTCAAAATGGTAGCCATCAAGAGGGTTCCACCCAATATTGATTGGACCACAATGAGTAGGTAAGATCCTGGTCATCAACAAGGTGCCACAAGGGTCTGAATCAGAGGTTGCCCCGAAACCCCCAACAACTAGATACCACTGATGGCATCAAAGGAACAGGGAGGAGCCAGGGTTCTTTCATGCCTTCCAGGCTAGATACTTGCAAGGAATATATGGGATTGTTTATTTCTTAATTAAGAATACAGAAAAGCTATCTCAGGCCATTTCTACACATACATACTAGTTGTGATTTGACAGGCTTTTTAAAAAATTAGTTCAATTTTAGTAGACTTTCTACCAAATTGATTAGAGTTGTAAATTTGTCTATACATACCAAGTAAATATGACTTCCTAACCTGCAGCTTTGATATAATATAATCTTAGTTTGTACAAACTTCATAACTCAGCTTTTGAGGAATGATTTTTTTAGTACAAAAACAAAATTGCCACTCTCCATCCCTGTCTCCAAATACTTCAAAATGAATGTTTTTTCTACATAGAAGGTTTGTAATCATCTTATCTTTGGTGTAATTGATGTCTGATATATTGATATTCTTTCAGTTGCAAATACAGCCATTTATAACAAGTGAATTTTTTTCTTCTCTAACAATATAGGTCTATTTTCCTAAATCATAAATAAAGGCTCTGTAGTTAGCCTTTCTTCTAATAATCTTGCCATATCAGCAGTGAAAGTGGATTAACTGAAATTTCACCTTTAATTTTTATCTAATGTGTTTACTACAGATACAGCAAAATGTTTTTACTAAAAGCCAAATATTGAACCATGTCTTAGCAGCTAAGCCTGTGTGACCATTTCCTCATTCCTCCTTGTCTAGACTGTTAATACTACTTAATTAAATAATGGCTGACACAACAAAAGAAACACTTCTATAGATAGTGGTTTATAAATGGAATTGGTGCATTTTCTAAATAAGAAAATGCAGTACAGAGTGTTTCAGTTAAGTACATTGTGTCCTGTGGTCTGTAGCTTACACAAAAATCAAGGATGAGAAACTTCTGAATCCATTTTGCCACCGGCTTGAAGCCTGTGACTTTAGTCAATCTACATGAATCACTAAGCTTTAGGAAAAAATAGGTAACATAGCCACATGTTCAAGCAATTCAGATATTCAGTATGTAGTTTTAATCATTTAACTTTGCTTAGCTAATCCAAAAATACTTCTGAGGAGCCAACCAATTTGTTAAAGCCCGTAATTTGACTTTGGGTTTTTAAAATTTATTATTTTTTTATATATATAGAGATGGGGTCTCACTATGTTGCCAGGCTGGCCTCAAACTCCCGGCCTCAAGTGATCCTCCCACCTCAGCCTCCAAAGTGCTAGGATTATAGACAGGAGGCACTGTGGCTGGCCCATAGTTTGATTTTGTTATAAGAGAGAATACACTGAGCTACAAGTCAACAGACTTGAATTTCAGTGCTGGGCATCCTAGGTCAATAAGGTATCTTTAATTCGTTTCCCTGTCTTGAAATAAAGTGTTTGGATATTATATCAGTGGCTCTTTAAATACATTCTCTGAAGCACTGAAGACCTAGCCAGTTCCCTAAGGCCAACTTGGTTTGGTTATGAGGTAAAGTCAAGTGAAGAGAACTTTGAGCCTAGCACTTTAAATTGGTTAAAGTAGGAGCAGCCTCACTTTTATCTGTATTAAACCACTGAACTAAATAATAGATAAGGTTTCTTGCAGATTAGACATTCTATAATAAAGGAAGTTAGACCAAGTCATATTTCTGCCCACAAGGAGCTTATAATCTAATTGGTAGAAAAAAATACTTGAACATTTAATGTGTAAGATAGTGTTACACATGTCAGCACTCCACAATGATATAGTAAAATGCTAAGTAGAAGGTTATAAATTTGAGGCTGGGATAATATGCAACTTTGCATGCAGATAGTTAATGCAAAGAAGGTTCATCAAAAAAAGAGAAGTTCAGCCTGTCATCAGGAAAAAGTCCATGGTATGAGTATTAAAAAATTGATTATTATAACGAGAACGAGAAAGAGAATATATTAATTGTGAATTAAAGTAGCTTGTTTCTAAGAATGGCTAATATTTTCAGACTTGTTAGAATATTCATATAAGAAGATGACAGCTATTCCTAAATTGAAATAATGTTATTGTATATCAGCAAGGGGAAATTAAAAATGAAAATAGGTCATGATGAAATATATTAGGAGCAAGCTTGTATATTTATAGGTTTATGGACAAAGTCTAAGACATTGCTTCATTACCTTTGCTATAACAAATCATATCTGTTAATATTAGACCATCTGAACTTAAATCAAATGATGTTTTCCCCAAAAGGCAGCGGTCAGACTCTCACTAAATGAAATTCTATTCTAAAAACAGCCATATGATTGAATGGATTCTGCTTGATGGTAAACACTCATCCCCTATTTCTGTGTTGTAAATATTTTTCCACAAGACAATGAAAAGCCACCATGACCACTGAGATTTCATTTTCGGGACTGTCACAGTTTCAGGCTGAGATATAAGAAAGAACCATCTATTATTAAAGGAGCAGAGGTCAAGTCATGCCGGTGGCCCTCGTAGGGTAAAGCAGGGGTCGGGGAGGGGCTGGTGCAGGAGGGTGGCAGGAGATCTGGAGGAGCTAGAGTGGCAGGTACTCACTGTAACAGGGAATCTCGAGTGGGCAGTGGAGCCAAAGAGGAAAGCAGGGCACCGCGTAGGGACACAGGCAGCAGGGAAGATGCC
The DNA here is from genome assembly GCF_000001405.40 of Homo sapiens. Lineage (NCBI taxonomy): Eukaryota > Metazoa > Chordata > Mammalia > Primates > Hominidae > Homo > Homo sapiens. The sequence continues at coordinate 144,466,037 of NC_000007.14, read as the reverse complement.
TTTGTGAGAGGAGCGGGAATTTCACCAGCAAGAGGTGGCCTGAGTGGACCAGTTGGTCTGGCTGAATTGATCAAGATTGAGCCAGAATCTTAGAGGGATTTACATGGCAAATCTTTCAGAACTTCAAGGGCTTTCTGTAAATTCAAGGATTCAGTCATCTGGTTAATTTGACTAGATCTTCCCAAGCACAAATAAATGGAAAATTGACTTCTAATAGTACCTAACCTTCACTCCGATATTTCCGGCTTTTGAACTTTACCAAAGGTAACCTCCCAGGTGCTCAGCGAAAGGAAAATTTAAGATAGTACATGAAGGAGAAGAGACTAGACAAGGTCATGCAGAAATTAAATGAAAAGGCTTTTATTTCACAAGCAGGGAATCGAAACCAGACCACCAGTAAGAAAGGGCAAAGCCTTAGCAACTGAGCTACAGCATAGGGCAGTCTTCACTGTTCTTCCCAGAAAGCATCTAGAATAGTTAATTGTGAGCTTACACAGGCTTTTAACTACTCAAGATAATTTTTAGAGCTAATTATGACATAAACCCTAAAATTCCTGTTCCCTGGAAGGAGGAGACCAAGAGAAAGTACTGCCACGTGGTAACAAGGTCAAGCTCCCAAGGACATAAAACAAGATGGAGATAAACAGTGATTTTTACCATTCAGTCAACCATTTGCACAGAAAGAGAGAAGCCAGAAGTCTGACTGGTAAGAAATTCTTACCCTTTTGCCGGCATGCCAGGCTTCTGGGTTCTCTTTGCCTGAGCGGCCTCCATGACTGAGCTTGCCACACCATCGCGCTGGGGCAAAGCCACATCAGAAAAGAAAATTATCTTTTTCTGTTCTGGCCAGAGTAAAATACATGTGACAAAAACATAGACATTAGCTGCTCTGATTAGCACCCAGTATCAAACTGGCAAGGCTCAAATTTGCACCTGGTTGGGCTCCATCATCATTAATCCAACCTCCAACCAGGAGTTTCAACCTGTGGTCTCTGGGCAAGATGGTTGCCCTGAGTAATAGAAAAGATAAGAAAGAGAAAGGAGAAAGAGAAAAGCATTGCCTGAGGCAGGGTGGGGAAGGTGAAATGATCTGGGAGGCCAGAGAAAGACCCACCCATTGCAGCGACACTGAAAAAAAAGTTCAGGCGGCTGCTTCTAGGTAGCGAAGGGATCTTTTCCAGCAGGCCCATCATCTCTCAAGTTTCCCCTTTTAGGGAGGAAAAAGCTCCCCATGTCCCACGATCCTGTACATGCCTAATCCTGTCACCCACAGTTGTCAGCAAAGAGTGCAAGGCAGATTATTCCAAAGAGAATAGCAGTTGACATGCTGTAGTGCCAAACCCATTCTTAGACAAAAGGGACTTTACTTAGAGCCCTCATTTTAAAAATGTACTTCAAATGCATTGTTGTTCATTCGGAACATTCCACTGTGTTATCTTTAGTAACATTTTGCTGTTTCTGTAAGACTTCGCTGCCTCCCAGGCCTGAAGTGTAAGCCAGAAAGAACTCAGTTTTCCAGAAACTAAGGATCCCATTTTTACCTAAAATATTGGCCTTACGCTCAGCTTCTCTTGATTAACTTAGCCAGTGATTTTTTTTTCCTACCCAAGTGTAAGAAAAATGAAACAAAGGGGTATAACACAAAAATCTGATTTTTCAAAAGCCAAATTTTATAACTCCTGCAATATTACTGCTTACTACCAGTTCCTTTCTGACCCAGTCAGATGTAAGAGGCTTCTAACTGGATCCAAGCCAGTTAATTCCCAGATCAAATCCATTCCTGTACCCAGTCCAGTTTCTGTCACAACTCCAAACCCAGTTTGGATCAGAAATTTGCTCAAAGAAACTCAGAGAGCTCAAAACACAAATCTGTGGAGCTGGGAAATCCAAGAGGGAGCTTAACCATGATCCCCAGTGGCTGTGAGAGATCAGTGGAGCTCGGAAATCCAAGAGGGAGCTTACCCATGATCCCCAGTGGCTGTGAGAGATCAGCGGAGCTCCGAAATCCAAGAAGGAGCTTACCCATGATCCCCAGCAGCTCTAAGAGATGAGTGGACACAAGTGGGTCCTGCAGGTACCTTGCATATTCACTCAGCACTGCTGGGGGATGCTAGAAGCTCCATTTTGGATCCCACTTCTGACACCATCTGATAAAAGAAAAACTTCAGCCGAATTAAATTTAAAAGAGTTCAATTGAGCAGTGAACGATTTGCAAATCCGGCAGCCCCCAGAATCACAGCAGATTCACAGAGACCCTCTTGACTGGTAAATTCTAAAAGGGCCTGGATTATGTCTCTTTAGCTTATTTGTATAAATACCACCTGCAGGTTTGAGATTGATGTTAAGTAATCATACCATGCTACTGCACATGTTCCTCTCTTTTTTCACTTTTCTATGACATTTCTGTTTGTTTGATGTACCTGTAATAATCTCTGTTGACATTTGAAGGATAGAAGCAAATGCCACTTTAAAGCTTCCTCAGTGCAGATGAAATGATGATAATAATACAACACATTTTCAACACTTTTCTGGAGAAGTCAAAGCTCTTCACAGACATTAACTCATTCATCTTCACGATAGCAGTATTAGAGGTAACTGGGGACAAGTATTATTGGCATTTTACAAATGGATGCTGAGGTCACCTGAGGGACTTTTAACAAAAGTCATAAAATATTACAGTGAAAAGATCAACTCTCTGTTTTCAGGGATGGCACTGAGGCCCAGCAGTACAAAATGACTTGCCTTGCTCTACAGCCGGGCAGCAAGAGATTAGGATGGCTGCGACTCAGTCATCTTTGGCATCTGCAGGTCATAATTCTCACCCCTGTGGGATGGTTTTGGGGCAGGCCAGTGTCCACAGGAGGCAACACCAAGACACAGGATTTGAAGGCAACAGAGCAAAATAAATCAGTTCAGAACAGCCTGTGGACAGCCTTTCTCTTTGAACAAACGTTTAAATCTGATACTGATTTTCCACACTGAAAATTTTCACAGAGTTCTACACAGTTCATTCACTTTACCACTAATAATTAATGCAAAAAGGTCACATTTTGTGGATTTGGACTGTGGTTCTTATTTTATAAGCCCAGTAAGCTTTTCTTTTTTCTTAAAGCAGCTCTGATTGGCTCTTTAACTGGAACATGGGGCCTTTTATGAGTAGAACATGCTGATGACATAATACATTAGGGAATTCTCTTTAACAAATAAAAATAACGATTTTGTTTATTTTAGAAAGGGCTAAATGTTTGAAACTGATGATCTTTGTAAACATTTTCTAACTGGCATAATTAGTTTTGATTCCTCCAAGCAGCAGCATTTTCCTGGCCTAATTGTTTTTCGATCAACAGGCCGAGTCATAACACAGAAAATGTGGAGAAGGAAGAATAATTGAACATCAGAAGCCTTCTAATGCATTCCAGTCCTCATCCAAGGGCAAGGGAAATGTGACTTCTGAGAGAGAAGAAGATAAATGCAGCCAGTTTCAAATAGAATTATAATAGCCCTTCCTTGGACATTTGAGTTCAAGGAAGGATTAGTTGTCAGGAGAGGGAGGTGATGAGTGTTCACCTTGGGAAGAGTCTTAGTAGATCAGGGTTTTGAGAGATAAGGCTCAAAAAGAAAGCACAGCTGATGGCTTGTTATCAGAGACATGCATAACAATAAGTCTTGCTCTTACCATTTTCACAAGCACTAAGAAGTTCTGGTAGACACTGCAAGTTAATTTCCAGGGCCTCCTGCATCAATGAGTGGAAGTAAAGGCTGTCCTTGGTGAGCTTCAATGAGTTGACAAAGGAAGGGGCCTCACCACACACAGTCTGTGTGCTCAGCATCTCTCTCTATACTTTTCCAAGAAGCTGCAATGCAGATATATCATAGACTAGATAATTTCTTCCTAAATTTGGCACACTTTTTTTCAACTTGGATTTATTTTGATGCACGTTAAATCAATAAACATTTCTTAATGCTTTGCAATGGCATTACTTCAGCTTTCAGGGAAACCAAAGGTGAACCAAGAGGGAAACACTTCCCTTCCTAAGTTGCTAGCCTTTCTTCCCAAATTTTTTCCCCAAATTGTATTGTGGAATTTTAATGTTGAATAACTTCAAACCTACAAAAAAACTGAAGGGACAGTACAGCAAAATCTGTATACCTTTCACTGAGATTCACCAAGTGCTAACATTTTTTTTCTACATTTGCATTTATTTCTTTGTATGTGTACTAGGCCATTCTTGCATTGCTGAGGCTGGGTAATTTACAAAGAAAAGAGGTTGAATTGGGCTTATGGTTCTGCAGGCGGTACAGGAAGCATCATGTCAGCATCTGCTTCTGGGAAGGCCTCGGGAAGCTTTTACCCATGGCAGAAGGCAAGGCAGAAGCAGGCACTCACCACAGGGAAATCAGGAGCAAGAGAGAGATTGTGGGGAAGGTGCCATGCACTTTTAAATGACCAGATCTTGAGAGAACTCACTATCTCAAAGACAGCACCAAGCCACGAGGGATCCACCCTCATAACCCAAACACCTCCCACCAGGCCCTTCCTCCAGCATCAGAGATTACAATTCAACATGAGATTTGGGCAGGGACAAATCTCCAAACAATATAATATGTGAGTATGAGTGTATGTGCATTACATTCTGAACTATTTGAAAATAAGTTGAAGGCATGATAATAATAAACACCTGAAATTCCTCAGCTTGTATCTCCTAGGAACGAGGTCATTCTCTTGCATAACTACAGTGCTAATATCTACCCCCAAAATGTAACATTGATGGAATAATAGTGTACAGTCCATATGCTTACTCCCCAAGTGTCCCAGTAGTGCTCTTTATAACTTTCTAAAATCTGGAGTCTACTAAAAAAACATGCATTGTATTTAGTTGTCATATCTGTTTAGTCTGTTTTTTTTTTTTTTTTTTTTTTTGAGACGGAGTCTCGCTCTGTCGCCCAGGCTGGAGTGCAGTGGCGCGATCTCGGCTCACTGCAAGCTCCGCCTCCCGGGTTCACGCCATTCTCCTGCCTCAGCCTCCCGAGTAGCTGGGACTACAGGCGCCCGCTACCACGCCCGGCTAATTTTTTGTATTTTTAGTAGAGACGGGGTTTCACCGTGTTAGCCAGGATGGTCTCGATCTCCTGACCTCGTGATCCGCCCGCCTCGGCCTCCCAAAGTGCTGGGATTACAGGCGTGAGCCACCGCGCCCAGCCTAGTCTGTTTTAATCTAGAAAAGTCCCTTCACTTTTTTGGTCTTTCATGACACTGACAGCTTTTAAGAGTTCAGGCCCACTAACCTGTCATCTGCCCCCATTCTGCATTTGTCTACGGTTTCCCCATGATTCAATTCAGGTCAGGCATTTTTGGCCAAAAGTATTAATGGGTGATATTGTATTCATCCCTAGCATCATAGCAGGAGGCACATGATATCAGTATGGCCTTTTATTGGTGATGCTAAGGTTGATCATTTAGCTAAGATCGGACTCATGAGATCACTCTGCTACCTTTTTTTCCTTTGAAGTTAAAAGCAATACGTGGAGTACTGCTTTGGAACTGGGTGCTATCCTTCTTCTCCACATTTTATCCAGTAGTTTAAGCATCCATCCATTGATGGTTCTTGCCTAAACTAGTTATTACACTGGTGGCTGCAAATGGTGCCTTTCTAATTCTCTAATTCTGCCATTCCTTCCTTTAGTAGTTGGCATTCTTCTGTAAATAATAGGTTTTCTTCTCTCCACCTGCTTTTGGCAATTCATTATTCAATATATTATAATGCCTCTCTCTCTCAGGATTCTTTTCTAATGCCCCAAATTAGTTCCAGTCGTTGTGTCCTTTTCACAGGTCTACATCTGTTTTTGAGCACCCTCTTGCTTTCTGGAGCAAGATGTTTCAAGCTCACTCTGTACTTTGCCTGCTTGAGACGAGGCATCTAAACAGTCAGCTTTAAATACAAAGTGTGTTCCAGGGAAGCAATCAAGTCCTTTGTAAATAGAAAAGAGAATTTTTAATTTGTCCTGTAGCAGTTGGAGAATCAAAGAGCGGTACAGGGTAGCAAGTGACATTGAGTTTAGACTTGAAGGATAAAATATGCAGAGAAAAGTCAATTTGTTCTCGGAGGGAACACGTCAAAAATTTTCGTAGAAGCAGGAAATTCCTGATCTATTCAAGGAACAGCAAGTAGCAGAGAGTGGCTGGCAAGCAGGTAGGAAGTAGCCAGATAACAAAGGGCCTTAAGTGCCATGCCAGGATGTTTGGGCCGGGAAGAGGGAATGTGTTTGTTTTGAACATTTCATTATAGGCAATTAGGGTCCTCCAGTTATTCTTTCACAAGTGTTAGAGGAGTGGGAAGAGAAGGTAATAATTGGGAGAAAAGAGTACAATTAGAAGATTATTTGCAATTATTAGAAGAAAAATTAGAAGATTATTTGCAGGTACAATTAGAAGATTGTAAGTATCTTTTTTGTATAATGACTTCTTTTCCTCTGAGTAGATACCCAATAGTGGAATTGGAGATCATTATTCTAAGTGAAGTAACTCAGAAATGGAAAACCGAACATCATATGTTCTCACTTATAAGTGGGAGCCACACTATGAGGATACAAATGCATAAGAATGATACAGTGGACTTTGGGGACTTGAGGGTCTTGGGGGAAAGGGTGGGAGGTGAGTGAGGGATAAAAGACTTCAAATTGGGTACAGTGTACACTGTTTGGGTGTTGGGTACACCAAAATCTCACAGATCACTACTAAAGAACTTACTCATGTAACCAAACACCACCTGTTCCCCAAAAACCTATGGAAATAAATGAATAAATAAAATAAAATAAAAATAAATAACTCCCTCCCCCCTTCAAAAAAAAGGAAGATTATTTGCCACATGTCCAAGCAGGCATTTATTTATTCTATACCTTATAGAATGTAGTATATATTCTCTTGGTAATTTCACATTAGGTTTGCTTGGATTTTGGATTTTTGGTTGTCCTTTCTACAGTTCCTGCTAGATAGTTCTCAGCCTTCAAGTTGAAGGGCAGAGGACTGAGTCTGTCTTGCTGCTGAACACATGTTAAGTATTTAAGTGTTTGTTGATCCACTCACATCGTAAGTTCAAATCACTCAAAATGATTGTATATGCACACTTTGAATTTAATGTTCTCTTTATAACCTCGGACTCTGTGACCGCATAGCTACATATGAAATGAAAATTACTATCTATATAATCAAACCAAAAAATAATGTTCTTCTGAAAAAAGCAGATAATTGAATCATAAATATAGTTCCTGCTTCAACAACCTAGAACTGCACTGTTCAATCTATATAGTAACCACTAGCTACGTATGGCCACTGAATACTTAAAATGAGCCTTGTCCAAGTTAAGACATGCTGTAAATGGATTTCAGAGACTTAGTATGAAAAAGGAATGTAAAAGACCCCAAATTTTATATATTGATTATGTTAAAATGATTTTGGATATATTGGGCTAAATAAAAAAGATATTAACATTTTTCCTATTTTTACTTTTTTAAGGTGGCTATTAGAAAATTTAGATTTGTGATCACTTATTTTTATTTGGCAGTGCTGAGATAAATAAATATATTTATTTTATAGATGGTCTCAAACTTGTATTTTCTAAGATTCTAATAGAAATATAAGTACACAAAAGACATGTACT